>NC_000002.12:27368121-27520871 GCF_000001405.40 Homo sapiens
ATCACAGAGGATGGGATGCTGATGGGATGGCGGTGTCACATACTTTGAAAGGGAGCTTGAGCATCTACTGCCCACCTGCCCCTGATGAAAAGGAACTCCCTTCACTAGCAGATTTCCCCACTCCTCTACAGTTCTGCCTTGGGTTCATACTTTTTCCTACAGAGTCCATCTCAGATTACTAGAAACTTTCAATACTGACTTACTAAAACTCCTCAGACTCAAAAGTTATGACAATTTCATAGGATCCTACCTCATAAACTGGGTCAGAGAGTTTTGTCTGCTGTACTGGGGTAGGTGAGAGAAGAGACTGACTTTGGATCCATAATCCTTTCGTGTAGGAACCTTGACAAAACAAGGGAACAGGACCAATGGCCCAGAGTTTAAAAAGGATGGGATAAAGCTGGAAAGGAAGTGAACAGTAAGACTACTCTGACCCAAGCACCTATCCTTCTCACTTTGCACCCAGCACCTTTCCTCCCTCCAGTCCATTTCCCTAGGCTCTTTCTAGCCAGGCACCAAACCCACTTCCTACCTGTTGACGCTCTGGTTTTTTAACAAGCCTTCTCAGAAGTAGGTCATCAACCTGAGGGTACTCAGGGAGACGCTTCACTCCTGAAAGATAATCATCATGTTTTCAGGACACTGTAGGTCTTGAAATGTGTAATTTGCTCTTAGGGTATAAGGGGCATCAAGAAAAACAGGATGAGGTGGAGAAAACGGGAGAATAGGGTAGAAAAGGAAATAGGGATAGGATAATGGGGTTGCAGGAACAATTCAGAACTCTGGGTCCCAAGAATGAGAGGGGAGAGCTGTTTTACTATTGGGCAGCCTGAGCTGGCGTTATAATTAGGAGTAAGGGAGGTCTTAAAATGAAGGGAAGATACCTGAGGGGGTTTCTCCAGCTGTGCTGGGGCTGGCCTTAGGAGGTGGTCCTCCTTGTTCCCCTTTTCTTGCCTGTTTCAGGGCCCGCTCGGCCTCCTGCTTGGCTCGACGCTCAGCCCGAAGTTCGGCCTTACTCCGACCAGCTGGAACTTTCTCCCGAGGAGTGCCCAACTGAATGCCCGATTCTGGCAGTTCTCTGGTTGGGCCTACTAAAAGCATTAAAAAAAAAAATGCCCAAGCTGCAGGCAGGTGATATCCGTGCCCCAGCTAAAACTAGCTTCTCTCCTTGTAAACCTCTTTGCTTTACACACTTGCTCAAATCAACTTTGTCCTGTCTCTCCCTTATCTCTCCCACCACATCCCTCTACCAGCTCCACACCCCAGCCCTTTAAAAGAGACCCCTCACTCACCTTGACATTGGGCTGCAGATACAGCAGAGCCAGTCTCTGGTTCTGCCCCCTTTTCTTCCTTCCGTTTCTTCTTCTGCTGTTTCTTTTCCTTCCGAAGCTGCAGCTTTTCTTCTTTGGTCATTTCCCTCCCCACTGCCTGAGACACAGACATAGGATACTGCTCTTCCCCAACAATTCCAAAGGGGAACAAATACTATTGGATGCTTACAAGATTTCCACATGGTTAAATCCCTAGTTCTTCCTAACTTCCACAAGCTACCTGTTGCAAGCTTACATCCACAGAGGCTGACGTTTCTCCTCCAGGGACAGAATCATATATCCCTAGGGTTGCAAGACCTCTGTAAAATCTCCTGGCTTTACTGAGAAATAAACCGACACGGGATGGGAGCTGGGGCGGAATAAAGCTGGCACAGCCTCCTGCGTAGCGCTTGGCAGGCGGCTTGGGAGGGAAGCCTCACTTACCCCAGGCCCAGGGGGAAGCTCCGCCTTCATCCCGGATCCCGAGTCTGCATCAGAAAACAGGGCACAAAGTGAGCCAGAGAGACTCCGGGAGGGTTTGGGGGCACGAGTACTCGGCGCAGCCGGCTGCTGGGTTGGCATGACCACGGATCCGCCGGCAGGCGCGAGGCGAGCCAGGGATCCGCGTGGGGACGCACTGCGCGGCGGATCAAAGGAATGGAGGGGTCACCGACCCTCCTCACAGCAACCAGCCGGTGCGCGGCGCGGGACTGCGCTCGAGACTGTGTAGACCGGAGCCCAGCGTGGCGCTGGAACGGAGCGGCGGGGCCCAAAGGCGCTCAAGGCCCGGCACTAGCTGTCCGGAGCTCGTCGGCTCCGCGTACCAGTAGGCAGGCCCGGCTCTTCACTCACCCTCGCGAACAGCCACGGCCACAGCAGCCATCGCCCTCAGTCCTAGGCTCCGCCCGCCGTGGTCACGGAGCCGCCCCGCTGCCTCGCTCCGCGGCTGCAGGGTCCACAGCGCCACCTGGGCTGGAGGCTGAGCCGCAGAAGCGAAGCGCGCAGCCCCAATCGGACTACAATTTCCGACGGGCCCCGAGGCCCCGCCCCGCACTACGGGTTGCAATGAGGGCCAACTCCACTTTGGGCTCCCTATCCGGACAGGTGGCTCTTGCCCTTTAGACTACAGTTCCCAGCATGCCCAGGCGATTGCGTCCCAGAACCGACGTCCCACCGCCTTCCCACATCGGATCGCAGGGCTCCCAAAATGGCGAGTGAGGCTGCGGGGACTCGCTGAGCAGCGGAGGGGGAGCGTGCAGAGCCGCTGCGGCCCTCACAGTCCGGAGCCCGGCCGTGCCGTGCCGTAGGGAACATGCACTTTTCCATTCCCGAAACCGAGTCCCGCAGCGGGGACAGCGGCGGCTCCGCCTACGTGGTGAGGAGCGGCCGGAGCCGAGCCGGGCCGGGCAGGGGCGGGGATAACGGGCCCGAGCCATCTCGGAGCGGCCTCTGAGGCCTGACCGCCACCCTTCGGGCCTGGTCCTGGGCCGCCGACTCCCGACGGCCTCTCTGGGAGCTTATCTCATGTGTGTGATTCGTGCAGTGGTCGCCCGAGCTCCTGTAGGCCCTTAGGCCGGGTCGCTTCCCCGAGCTAGGCCGCAGCTGCCCTGGTGGGCGTCACTGGCCTCTTGGGCAGTGAGACTGCAACACAAGCGTCCGAATTTCCCCCGGACTGGCTCTTCAGCTTTGGGACTTGGCCCTGGCGAAAACAAGCGAACTATCCCTCGGGAGATTAGCGCGTTACTCCGGCGAGTTGCCAGGCAACTTCCGGCCAGGGTTCTCAGGGGGGTTGCGCAGACCGCAACCCTAAAATGCTTGACTACTTTTGTGTCCTCAGGCCTATAACATTCACGTGAATGGAGTCCTGCACTGTCGGGTGCGCTACAGCCAGCTCCTGGGGCTGCACGAGCAGGTGGGACTAGCACCCCTGCCTTGAGACAGCTTCAAGCCCTTCCCTACACGTGGACATCAGTGTCTCCCTTTACCCGCTCTTCTTGTTCCCGTAGGCTGTAGTTCCCCTTTAATCACTGCCACAGGGTAGGGCCCTGGTTTATCTTGTCTGACATTTCCGGGAACTCCCTAAGAAGCTTAATGTCCGCGCAACAACTGCTCCTTCCTGTTCTTATATTCTGGTTTTCTGTCCAGTCTTACTGCTCTAGTAGCCTTTACCCCTGCATGGACAAACCAACCCCTCCCCCCACTACCTCCACCCAGGCTGTCAAAGCACATTCCTTCTGTCATCTGAGCGGCAACTTGAAATTCTTTTCCCTGCTTATACAAACGATTCACCGATTTCCTTTTGTGTTCTTCGGCTCATTTCAGTGTGTTTAGCTGTGCCAATTATCGTTATGTATCTGTGATGCAATGTTTCTCCTCCTTCCTTACCAGATCTTAAACTCTATTTAACTCAGTAGAGCTCCACTGATAATTAGTTGTGCAACCCTGAACAAGTTACCTGATATCTTTTTTTGGGACGGAGTTTCTCTCTTGTTGCCCAGGCTGGAGTGCAGTGGCACGATCTCGGCTCACTGCAACCTCTGCCTCCTGGGTTCAAGCGATTCTCCTTCCTCAGCCTCCTGAGTAGCTGGGATTACAGGCGGCTGCCTCCACACCCAGCTAATTTTTGTATTTTTAGTAGAGAGGGGTTTCACTATGTTGGCCAGGCTGGTCTCAAACTCCTGACCTCAGGTGATCCACCCACCTTGCCTCCCAAAATGCTGAGATTACAGGCATGAGGCCTGTAGAAACTGATTTCTTTGGGCCTCAGTTTCTACAACTGAAAGATGGATTCTTTGATCTGCAAAGTCCCTTTAAGTCCTAAGATATTTTGTGAACAGACTTAGCTATTAACTGTGCACTTTATAAAGCCCTTTCCTTCCTTTAAGGGTTCAGTGAACAGTCTTGCTAGGTGGTCAAGGGGCTCCCTATAGGTCCTGGCCCAGTACAAATCCTCCCCGTACTGTGGAGGGGCTGACTTGTACACAGTAAAATAGAGCACAACTTATATCTAGGACAGCTCCCTTGAGGTGCTACCGCTGTCAAAGGAATTGTTTCTCAGATGACCAGGGTAGACAGGGGAACAGGGACTGAGGGAAGGGAGGGGCACCCAAGAGAACATTATGAGCATATGTAGATTGCCTCATCTCATTTTCTGTGTTTATGTGAAGGGTTGTATCTCTTTCTCTAAATAGCTTCGGAAGGAGTATGGGGCCAATGTGCTTCCTGCATTCCCCCCAAAGAAGCTTTTCTCTCTGACTCCTGCTGAGGTAGAACAGAGGAGAGAGCAGTTAGAGAAGTACATGCAAGCTGGTGAGTGGTTGCAGGAAACTAGGTTGACTATATTGAGGACTATGGGGAGAGACTTAAAAACAGCTGGTTCTGTGGAAGGGCCTGATTTAATTTCTAGATCTAGGAAGGCTCTTGTTTGATCTGTTATGCAGTTAGCAAAGTAAATAGTGTACGAGGATGTGTAACTCTGTGTACTAGCAAAACAATTTGGGCACTAACATCTATGAGAAATACTAGTATAACACTAGTCTTAATATCAGTGGAGAGAACTTAATTTGTATCTGATGTGCTTTAGATTAACATCATTGTTATTTCCCTAGTTCTATAGACTGGACTCACCTAGATGGCAGCCAAGGGTGGGGCAGGTGAAGAATTTATGCAAACAGTGAGTGAGGTGAGGCCAGCTGGGGGATGTGGCAGGCCACCATCAGCCCAGGAAATGGGGTCGGGGGAACCTACTGAGAGGAGGACTGGGGAGCCAAGAGTGAGTGCTAAGTTCCTGTAATAATGTTCTCTTGTCCTCGTAGTTCGGCAAGACCCATTGCTTGGGAGCAGCGAGACTTTCAACAGTTTCCTGCGTCGGGCACAACAGGTAGGGCTTTGGGTGGGACCAAGATTTAAGGAAAGGACCTTGCTGGAAGGTCATGTCTTTTATTTTTTTGAGACAGAGTCTTGCTCTTTTGCACAGGCTGGAGTGCAGTGGTGCGATCTCAGCTCACTGCAATCTCCGCCTCCCGGATTCAAGCGATTCTCCTGCCTCAGCCTCCCAAGTAGCTAGAATTACAGGCGCCTGCCACCATGTCCGGCTCATTTTTGTATTTTTAGTGGAGACGGGGTTTTGCCGTGTTGGCCTGGCTGGTCTCGAACTCCTGACCTCAGGTGATCCACCCGCCTTGGCCTCCCAAAGTGCTGGGATTACGGGTGTGAGCCACCACACCCAGCCAGGCCATGTCATCTTAATAACAGAGGAGTCATCTTTTTTAATGGAATGGAACTTCTATTCTTATGAAATCAAAGAAATCACAGCCTATATTTAAGCAGCTGAGAATAAAGACACACAAGGGACCTAGAAATAGAGTTGGGCATAGGTCAAGGCAAGGGACAAGGCAGTGCTTCCCATCCCCATGTGTGCTCACAACAGGAGACACAGCAGGTCCCCACAGAGGAAGTGTCCTTGGAAGTGCTGCTCAGCAACGGGCAGAAAGTTCTGGTCAACGTGCTAACTTCAGATCAGACTGAGGATGTCCTGGAGGTGAGGCGCTTGTTCAGCACTGCCCCTTCTTCCCCTACATCCTGGGGTCCTGGGCTTGGAGAATGATTGGAACCAGCCAGTATGATGAGCTGTACTTCTATCCCTATCCCCAGGCTGTAGCTGCAAAGCTGGATCTTCCAGATGACTTGATTGGATACTTTAGTCTATTCTTAGTTCGAGAAAAAGAGGATGGAGCCTTTTCTTGTGAGTTTCTCTGGACTTGACTGCAGTACAAGGGTACTTCAGTAGAGTTTGCAGCCCCCCTAACTCCCCACCCCCACCCCCAGAATGAACATTGCCTCAGGGCACTTCTTTCTTGATTTCCCTTCCTTTAAATCTCACTATATTTTCATTTTTTTTTTTTTAACCTGTAGTTGTACGGAAGTTGCAAGAGTTTGAGCTGCCTTATGTGTCTGTCACCAGCCTTCGGAGTCAAGAGTATAAGATTGTGCTAAGGAAGAGGTCAGGGCTGGGCCTGGAAGGGGAGGGGTGGGAGGTGCTGTGCTGGATTGGATTATTGGGCCACATATTGAGACAGAATAATCTGGACAAGGGGGTGTAGTGCTGGGTGTTTCTGCCAGGCCTCCCAAGCTTCCTCCCACTATACCATTAGCCCCTGATAGTTCCAGATTGCTCCTGTTTTGCCCATTTTCCATTCTACCTCTTGCCTTAACCCAGCTTAGCCCCATTACCCCTTTCCACCCCTTGGCCTCACAGTTATTGGGACTCTGCCTATGATGACGATGTCATGGAGAACCGGGTTGGCCTGAACCTGCTTTATGCTCAGGTGAGCTTGGAGCTGCCTCAGAACCCTTCCCCTGAAGAAAATAACGGGTGACTCACTCTCCCAAGAAAACTGCTGTCGTGTCTTTGTTCCCAATTTGTGGGGAAGTTCCTAGAATACTATCAGTGCTGCTGGCACAATATCTACTCTCCCTACTTTTATTAAGCTGACAAGATCAAGGACTTACTGCAGAGAGGTCGCTCAAGTGTGGGGCTAGGGGTCAGGCTGGACAGAGGTAATGGTAGACGCTTTCCTTGGATTGCTGACTGGGACCTCCTACTGCCTGCCCCTTGTCTCTACTATAGACGGTATCAGATATTGAGCGTGGGTGGATCTTGGTCACCAAGGAACAGCACCGGCAACTCAAATCTCTGCAAGAGAAAGTCTCCAAGAAGGAGGTGAGCCCTGCCTCCTCTCTGTCTTCCTCTAAGGGCTTGCAGTGGCGCGATCTTGGCTCACTGCAAGCTCTGCCTCTCAGATTCATGCCATTCTCCCGCCTCAGCCTCCCGAGTAGCTGGGACTACAGGCACCCGCCACGACGCCCGGCTAATTTTTTGTATTTTTGGGAGAGACAGGGTTTCACCATGTTAGCCAGGATGGTCTTGAGCTCCTGACCTTGTGATCTGTCTGCCTCTGCCTCCTAAAGTGCTGGGATTATAGGCATGAGCCACCGCGCCCGACCGGGGTTGCTTTTTCTGAGCTGCCCCATTCTCCCTCCTAATCTACCCCCATGTGATGACCATTTTTCAGTTCCTGAGACTGGCCCAGACGCTGCGGCACTATGGCTACTTGCGCTTTGATGCCTGTGTGGCTGACTTCCCAGAAAAGGACTGTCCTGTGGTGGTGAGCGCGGGCAACAGTGAGCTCAGCCTGCAGCTCCGCCTGCCTGGCCAGCAACTCCGAGAAGGCTCCTTCCGGGTCACCCGCATGCGATGCTGGCGGGTCACCTCCTCTGTGAGTCGGGTTAGGAGGGGGAAGGGCCTGGGTTGGGGGCCCGGCAAGCCTTGAGCTTAGGTATGGGCTGCAGCGGGTCAGGGAGCCAGACAGGTTGGTCAGAGTGAACTCAACCGAATTCCCCTTCCTCTCCCAGGTACCATTGCCCAGTGGAAGCACGAGCAGCCCAGGCCGGGGCCGGGGTGAGGTGCGCCTGGAACTGGCTTTTGAATACCTCATGAGCAAGGACCGGCTACAGTGGGTCACCATCACTAGCCCCCAGGTGTGAACCTACCCTCAGCCCTCCTCTGGAGCACCTTAAAGTGTAGAGTTTCCAGTACTCAATATGGGAGGCATTAGTGGTGCTGGGCTCAGAGTGACCACTCTCATCAAGCTGGACACTCTTCTTGCCCTCAGGCTATCATGATGAGCATCTGCTTGCAGTCCATGGTTGATGAACTGATGGTGAAGAAATCTGGCGGCAGTATCAGGAAGGTAGGCAGCAAGTGTGGACTGAGCAGTGAGCAGGTGTGCTCCCCTTGCCTTTTGTCCTAGATGTGAGGCTTGTCTTGAGAGGGAGGGGAAGTGATCCTGCCCTCACCGGCACCTTGTGTCTGTCCCCAGATGCTGCGCCGGCGGGTGGGGGGTACTCTGAGACGCTCAGACAGCCAGCAAGCAGTGAAGTCCCCACCACTGCTTGTAAGTATTACCTCCTGGTCAGAACCCTGGCTCTCAGCCCTGCCTCACCTCTCCTAGTGAGTTTCTGACACCTCTGCCTCTTCTTCCCCAGGAGTCACCTGATGCCACCCGGGAGTCTATGGTCAAACTCTCAGTGAGTTCCAGCGTTGGTGAGGTTGCTGTTTGTTGGGGGATCTTGCACGCCCAAGATCTCTGACCCCACCCTGCCTTTGTTACAGAGTAAGCTGAGTGCCGTGAGCTTGCGGGGAATTGGCAGTCCCAGCACAGATGCCAGTGCCAGTGATGTCCACGGCAATTTCGCCTTCGAGGGCATTGGAGATGAGGATCTGTAATCTCCACTGCTTGGATGTCTGCCCTCTACCCCAGAGGAATTTACAGAAACTTGCCCTGTGCCTGTGTCCCCCATGCTAGGGGCGGAGGGGTCTTTTCCTTCTTCTTTCCTACCTACCCCTTTTCTCTTGGCCAGGGGCCTCGTATCCTACCTTTCCTTGTCCCCTGGGCTGGCTGCACAGAGGATTGCCCCTTCTCTTTTCAGAGCTGGCCCTCGATGCCAAATTAGCATTTAGTATTTTGCACAAAGTCTAAGGGACCATGGCTGCCTGCCTTGGGGAGGAACCATATCTCCCTCTGGGCCGCTTCTGGCCTCTTGGAGCCATGGGCCAAAGGCCAAGGGGATGGGCAGAGGTCTGTGTTTGGTCTGGCCCAGTTCCCCATCATTAAACTCAGCCTGACTGCTGCCTACCTCTGGTTCCCTCTCACTGCCCCTGCTTCCCCCATCACAGCATGGACTACTATGCTAAGGGTAAGGCCAAATTGCCTGCCATTGCCAATTCAGCATAGACATGGCTTTGTTAGTGTTTCCTTTATTATAAAGCACTGAAATAAGTTAAATAAACAGGTGGGAGGCTGGGCAGTCCCCCAGCCGGTTTGTCCACAGCCCCTGGGGGCAGTGGAGGTGAATACAGGGCCCTTCTCACTGAGCTCGTGAAGTGCCTCAGTCAAGGCAAGGTCCCCTGGTCCATATGGGCCCCCCCGCCCATGGGGTTGGGCTGGTCCTTATAGTGCCTACGTTAGTCTGTGTGGAGCCCCTGGCCAGCGGGGGAGAAAAAGGTGGCTTCTGGTCCGTCTGTATAAAACATGGGGAAGAAGGACCTAGTTCAGGATGAGTCTGTGTGGACAGCCCGGCTGCCAGCAGTCCCCAGGGCTGGTGGGCCCCGAGAGCTCAAAACAGAGGGTGGGCTATGAGGTGGGGCCCAGCCCTCAGAGGCAGAGAGACCAGGCCCTCCTGCCCCACCGTGGCCATGCACCTTCTGGTGGCGCTTGTAGTTGTCCCAGTGGCCCGTGGTATAGGCGCAGGTGGCACAGCGGAAGGGCTTCTCGCCTGTGTGCCGCAGCATGTGACGTTTGAGGTTCATGCTCTGGTTGCAGCTGTAGTTGCAAAGGCTACACCGAAAAGGTTTGTCACCAGAGTGGATGCGACCATGACGCTTGAGGTTGGCCAGATTGCCACAGGCATAAGGGCAGAGGGGGCACTTGTAGGGCTTCTCTCCTGTATGGACGCGCTGGTGCCGTTTCAGGTTATCCAGATGAGCAGAGGCATAAGGACAGCGGGCGCAGCGGAAGGGCTTCTCACCACTGTGTGTCTTCATGTGCCGGGCCAGGTGGTTGGGATAGTGAGTGGCAAAGGGGCAGAGGCTACAGGCAAAGCCTTTGTCACTGGGGCCCTGGGGCCCCCCACTGGCACCCCCTCCAGCCTCTCCTCGCATGCAGCGCCCACACATGGCAGCTCCCAGCCGACTACCCTCACCCTCCTCCAGCTCTTGTCCACAGCCCCGGCAGGTCCAAGGGAATAGCAGCTCTGGCAGTGGTTCTGATCCAGTCCCGCAGAGGCCCTCCCCTTCACCCCGCAGCTGCCCACAGTCTGGCAGGAAACTGGCACCACCTGGTGGCACATGGAGGCTCAAATCTGGAAGGAGCAGAGCATCTGTGGGGACAAAGACCTGGGCTATGAATCCAATCCAAGCATTCCTAGGGTCAGCCACCCATGTCCCAAGATCTTTGGTCCCTGGTGTGTCTTACCTTCAGGTCGCCGGGGCACCGCCCCCTCCTGCTCTGTGGGACTGGGAGGCCGGGCTGGTCGTGGAGTACAGCAGCGGAAGCCACAGGTCGGGCAGGGAGGAGTGGGGGGCCCTGCGTGGGTACGCTGATGCCGCCTCAGGTTGCCCAGGCTGCTGCAGGCAAAGGGGCAGTGGGGACAGCGGTAGGGCTTCTCGCCAGTGTGGGTGCGGGTATGTCGTGTCAGGTTGACGAGCTGGGCTGAGGCGTAGGGGCAGCGGCCACAGCGGAACGGCTTCTCTCCGCTGTGTGTCTGCATGTGCCGCTTCAGGTGGCTCGAGTAGTGGGACACGAAGGTGCAGAGGCGGCATGAGTACAGTAGCCGTGGGGGCAGCAGGGGCCCCCCACCCGGCCCTCCTGCCCCACAACACGGCCCCTCACCTGTCGGCCCCCCACACAGCTGGCAGGCTGGGCCTGGCCTCTCACCCCTGGCCTCCCCTGGACCCCTGGCTGGCTCCTCAACTTCACTCTCCGCACTTAGTGCCCGGCCGCCCCCAGACTCATCGTCGCTCAGCCCATAGGGAAGCCCAGGCCTGGCCCCCAGAGAGTCTCCTGGTGAAATAGACATAAGAAGAGACATCAGCATAGGGTAGGATCAGGCTCCAAACTCTCCCCTTTTCACTTATGGTCTCCCCACTTGCTTGGCTCCACCCTTAGCTTTGATGATCCCTTTAGTTCCCTCCTAGGAATCAAGGTCTCCCCTGCAGTAATTCCAGAAAATTCAACATGAATTGTCTACCTCTTACACTGGACTAATCTAGTGATGGTAGAATTGACCTGTATCTAGTTTCCCTCAATGGTCAAGGATCAAGGGCTCACAGTGGATCACAGACTGAAATGAATCCATAATGAAATTAATTCTTGAGACAAGAAAGTAAAAATACGAAAGGGAGAGAGCCCCCAAGACCTTTTTCTAAGCTCTATTGCTAAGGCCCCTTTTAGTAAGGAGCTGATATAAAATAAAACCTATCTCTGAGGCAAAATTTGGAGGGAAGTGGAGACAATGAAAGTAATGCATGTAATACCACTTGCCTGCCTAAAGAACAGATATTTACATGGATCCCCTCAATGACTTTCAAAAAACATCTTGCATAAGTGGATGGGTAGTGCAGCAAATTAGGGTAGGGTGATGCTAAGATCACAGGGAAGAGGGACATGGAAGGATAAAGACAGAAACTAAAACCTCTCAATACAAAAGGAGCTTACGCTGCAGGTGAAAGGGAGTTAGATTAGACCTAAATACTGGGTTGAATGATTTACAGAGAGTTTGCTTCCCTGAACCTCTCTTAAAAGTAAATACACATAAGGAATGGGCTAGGGAGAGAGACAGGGCATTTACTTTTAATCAGTTGCTCCATGTGATTCACCCACCCTCCTATTCCTATCACCTTTGACCAGGCCTCAGAACTTCACCTCAACAAAGTGATGGAAGTGATTGGACCATTAAACAAATGAAGTCATCTAGCTCAAATGTAAACTAAACCAGCCCTCGGTTGTGGCAGGAAATGGTGTTCTGTTCACCTAACCTGCCTCCTGAAGGGCTGGGGTCTCCAGCGGCCGCTAATCCTTAACCAAGACCCGAAAACCCACCTTCCGAGTCTCTCTCGAAGCCCATGAGCTGGTCACTGTTGCCGTCGCCTTCCTCCTCTTCCTCTTCCTCCTCAAACTCCAGATCCTGGCCTAGTAGCAAATCACTCTCCAATACCAGGGCCCCGGGTCCTTCGTCGAGGGAGTCTTCAGTATCCACTGAAGAGGGGAGGGGGCTTGTGGATTCTCCCTCAGGAACCAGCCCTCGTGGACCACACTTCCCGTACTCGCTGACCCACTCTGATTCCCTTAGTGCCTCGGTGGGAAGCTAGGAGTCTGGATCGCCCACTTCATCCCTCAGGAGTCCCCCTCCACCCTGACCTGAGCCCACTCCACTGACCCCACCCCCGCTCCTCTCCCCTCAAGGCCCCTGACCCCTGACCTTTGACCCCCTCGCATTTCACGGGCTGCGGGTGGCTTTGCTTCCTTCGGGGCATCGTGACCGGCTCCAGCCCGACGCGCCTCCGGCCTGCGGCCGCCCGACCCCGCCCCTCCTATCTCGGCCCGCCTGTCTGCCCTTCCTCTCAGGGCCCGCGGGCCGCCCCCATGCAGCGGCGCGGGCCCTGGGCAGCCCCCGGCCCTGGCCCCGGCGCCCAGCTCAGGCCGCTCCCGCCGCCGCCGCCGCTTCCATTCATGGAGCCCCCTACCCCCCTACGGAGACCAGCTGGTACCTCCGTACTCGCTTCCGCTTCCGCCGCCGCAGAGACGCACGGGACGCGTAGTCCGTGGGAAGCGGCCGCGGCGGGAGCCTCAATGGCGTGACCGGGAAGTGATTGTGACGAGGCGGGGAGCAAGCCAATCAGCGGCAGCGGGGAGCCGGCCAGGGAGCAGCGCAGGAGGCGTCCTGCCCGACTCCAGGCTTCAGGCCAGCCAGACCGGTCCCAACCTGTCCCTGGGGGAACTAGATCATTTCTGGCTGCAGGAGGGGGCGAGGGGCAGCCGCGACGCCCGCCAGGCCGGCCTACCAGCAGCTCGCTCTGGGCTCTCCTATACACGCGCAGGACACACACGAGCACACGCACACACTCACATGGGGGCTCGCCACATGCTACAGATGGGACCAAGTCGGGGGCCACGGCAGCAGAAAAAAAAGGACACGATGCGTACGATTAGGTTTTGGCCTTTAGTCTGAAAAAGTGTTGATTGAAAGTGTACAACAGAGAGCGGGTGCAAGCGGCCGAGGGCCATGGAGCCGCCAATAAAAAAGAATGTCCTTAAATAAAGTTCACAGAGTAAAAACCAGAACCGCCAGTCCTTCCCTCCAACACAACAGAGCACAGGCACAGAACCGGTGATGAGCCCGAGGAGCAGAGGCGGCTGGGAAGGACAGCAGAGGCTCCCGGCTGCAGTGTGGAGGGAGAGCCCTCTTTGGAATGGGCGGAGTGAAGCCACCCAGCTCCCCCTGCACACCTCATACCCACTGCTAAGGCTAAAGGAAAAAGACAAAACTCAGTCTCAGGTCCGGAGGGCTCAGAAAACAGTCTAGGTGGGCAGGGGTCTGGATGACTGCTAGTCTCGCTTGGCCTTCTTCTTCTTGTCGCTGTTGCCATTTTCTTCAGCCCCCTCAGTAGAGAGCACCTCCTCTAGTTTTCGCTTGCCACTCTCTGGCTGGAGCTCTGCTGTGTTTCGGGGCTTGAAGCAAATGATGATGCAGGTCATGTTGTCACACCCTGTACCATCCCCAGAAGTGTCTGGTGCCAGGCACTGATCCAGCAGCTAAGAAAGGGATGGGGGTAGCTCAGCCACAGGGTTTGAACACCTTGCCAGGAATCTACAGTCCCACAAGAGGGCTGGCTTGCTGAGTCAGGGTGGTAGGAGAGGAATGGGCAAGAGGTATCACACAACGGCCCACCTGCTAGTCCATAAGGCATAAGGCTAAGTCAGGGAAATGACAGAAGGTGGAACTTTGGAGTCGGGGTTTAGCGTCTGTCAGCAATTACTGATAATGCTCCCAGATTGCCGACTTAGCTCAGATTAAAAGAGTGAACCCTGGCTGTGCAGACCAGACACCCTCTCTTCTCCACCCTGGTACTCACCTCTTCCACAATGGATGACAATAACCGAAGCTCCCCATTTTCATCACGCTGGCTGATCTTTGATTGAATGAAATCTACAACTTCCTGGCTGCTCATCACATTCCTGGGGTCAAGAACAACAGTCAGAATCTTCCAGTCTCACTAAGGCAGCGTAGAGGAGTATGGACAGAGGTGGTGGCCCAGGCCAGTGTAAATAACTACAGAAATTCTCAGCTCTGCCTTAGTCTGGGTGCTCTTCACCCACCAAGAGGCCTAGGTCTGCCTAGGCTCTAATCCTAGAGGTGCCCTGAGTCCTATAAGAGAAGACATGCTGCAGAAAGGGGAATTTAGGGCATTCTGCCAGTGCTCACCAGATGCCATCACAGGCAATGACCATGAATTCATGGTCGTCAGTGAGAGTCAGCACCTTGATGTCAGGAAGGGCTGAAATCATCTGTTCCTCAGGTGGCAGGTTCTTGTTTCTCTTATAGAAGTGGTCCCCTGGAGTAAAGGAATGGTTGATGAGCAGTTTGGATACTTCCCACAGACTTGTGTTTGTGGCAGGTCAAACCTTGCCATTCATTTCCCTTCTTTACAAAGTTCCATAATCTAGTGGAATGGGGAACTGAGTCCTAAGTCCTAGTTTTTCTAGTTTCAACCCTGCCACCAGACTGCTGAACCTTAAGAAAGTCACTCACTGGTCTTTTTATTTTAAGTCTTTTTTGTTTTTTTTTTTTTGAGACGGAGTTTCACTCTTGTAGCCCAGGCTGGAGTGTAATGGCACGATCTCGGCTCACTACAACCTCCGCCTCCCGGATTCAAGCGGTTCTCCTGCCTCAGCCTCCTGAGTAGCTGGGATTACAGGCTTGCACTACCATGCCCAGCTAATTTTTGTATTTTTTTTTTTTTTTAGTAGAGATGGGGTTTCACCATGTTGGCCAGGCTGGCCTCGAACTCCTGACCTCAGGCGATCCACCAGCCTCAGCCTCCCAAAGTGCTGGGATTACAGGCGTGAGCCACCACGCCCGGCACTCACAGGTCTTTTTCATCATTCAAATGTTACATAAGATGGGTATAATGATACCTATGTATAATGATACCTCTACCCATCTTAGTTATTTCACAGAAATATAAGAACAGAGGTAGTAGATATTAAAGTGCTTTGAAAGGCACAAGCACTAGGAAGATTAAAGTTTGCTACTAGGTAGTCTGGGACAGAGAGAAAGACCCTAGAAGTCTTTCCCAGTTTCTTGGCCCTTACCAATGGCTCTGGAGAGGTTGAGGCCCCCGTTGACTCGCCCATCCATGGTGACCTTGCCACCAGCATTCTTGATGCGTGCTAGTTCTACTTCATCCTCTGGTTTGTGATCATAGGACATGTCTAAAGCTTTGCCAGCCTCAGATACCACACAGCGAGAGTCTCCTGCGTTGGCTACAATCAACTGCTTCCCTCGTATCAGGGCCACCACCGCTGTTGTACCACTGTCAGAGCCAGGCTTAAGAGGAAGAAAAGGAGCATCATGGGGGCTTCTGAACATGCGTTCCTCACTGATGTGCTCCTGATCGTTCACCTATGCTTGCTTTCACTGGGACCCCCAAAAGAGCTTTAACAAACAGGAGAAGCACACATTTCATCTTTCTAGAGACAGCAGCACACTCCCTCTCCCTTGTTTTTAGATAATTCAACCCCAAAGGCTTACCATCTCATTCCCCTTGCAGAATAAATCCCCATGACTATTACTTCCATCCTAAAGTATCAGGGGGATCCCCTGTCTCAAAATCAAAATTAGGGGATTCACACCTGCCTTGTGGCTTTTCAAGACTCATTGCTCCCCTTCCCCACACACCTCCTCTTTGCCTTCCATCCCTGGCACCATCATCTCTTCTTCTTCTTCTTCATCGTCCTCTTCAGCCTCCTCGGTGTCATCCTCATCTTCCTCATTCTCTGCCTCCTCACTGCTGTAGCCATCCTCTTCCTCGCTGCATTCCTGCCAGGGGGAGGATCCCAGACTGCTGAGACTGGGATGATCCCCTCCCTCCCCACAGCTCATACTCAGAATCAAGAGGTCCTGACTGAACACAGGTCCTCAAAACACTGAAAGATACAAGTATATGGTCATGAAAATTGGGGGGATGGAAAGGGCTAGCATGAGTACAACTGACATCCTGAACTGGGCTTAGCAGTCACTAGCAAAAAGCCCAGGACAAGGCAAGGGCTGCCAGCCAAAAATATCTTTCAGGCACTGTGGCCAGAAAATAAATTTTCCAGAGAAGAAAACAGTCAACTAGCCAAGGTAACAACTATCTCCTTGTTCTCTCTCTAGGAGACAGACTCTGAAAAGCCAGAACTAGATCTGCTTGTTATAGTACCAACAAAGGAAGAGGTAAAAAGGCAAATGGTACCTGTGATGATGGAGCTCAATGAATTCAAGACTAAAGCTTAGAATACAGTGGGTCTTGGGGGATGATGTCAAAATAGGAGAAGGAAAGAGAGTTGAAAACTACAGACGGCAACCAAACAGGACCTCTCTGCAACTTCAGCATCTGCCTGCCCTCACAGGCCCTTACCTCACTGTCTTCCTCTTCTTCCTCCGCCTCATCTGACTCATCCTCACTGTCCTCAAAGAACTTGGACTTAGCAACTCGAGGCAGCTTGTCAGAGGCTGAAGAGCAGGAAGGCCCAGCCTCACCAGTGGGAATGCCAGGCTCACCAACTTGGCCTGCCTCAGTCCCACGTTCCGAGTTGGAGGAAAAGCCTGTGTAGGCCTTGGCTGTGGGGCCATTTTCTTGTGAAGGAGTTTCCCTAGTTGAGTCCTCAGGTCCTGCCTCCCCATTGAGGCCCTGGGACCCTGGTTCCTCGCCTGTCCCACCTCCAGATTTGCTGTGGGGAGGGCCCTTGTGACAGTTCTGCCCGTAGCGTGTCAGCAGCTCTTCAATAGTCATGGTAGCCTCTTCATGCAGCAGTGCAGCCTCCTCATTGTCCACTGCAGGGAAGAGGCTAAATCAGAGCCCCCATGCCAGACTCCTCATGGGATCCGTCCCTCTCACTACCTCAACAGCCCTTGCAGCCTCTAACTTCCCCACAACCTCCCACTCCCAAGGTTCCTCTCGCTCAAGTCTCAGAAGAACATGCCCTAGCTCCTCCTCCTCCACAGACTTCTTTTGGTTTTTGTGTTTCATCCCCTTCTTAATCAAAACAACACTAGTTACTATACTTCCCCTCTGACGTCTCATTTTTTATTGTTAAGTTGTAAAAACCCTATTCTGGCTGAGGATCCAGGAAGCCCACAATGCTACTGTGAATTAGGATTTAGGCTTAATGATTGGCTATTGGGGCTAATAACTGCTCCAGTCTTGAGGGGAAAAAAAAGCACATAAATACTAGCAGGAACCAGGAAGACCCCATCACAATGACAAAAGATAATGTATATACAATGCTTACAGCTCAGATGCCACTCAACGAAGATAATTCTCTCCCTCCTTTTCATAACCACATACAATGCAGGAGAACATCATAGGTTTCTTTAACATAAGGACTCCCCAGGTCCCTAGAAAGCCATCCTATCTTAGAATTGATAAGTAATATTAAAGAATATTTCTTAAAATGCTGATTTCCCCTCAAACAAGGGATGCCACACTCACCATCATCTTCATCAGCTACTTTTTCTTTTTCATCTTCATCCTCAGTGGGTCGCCCTGCAATCTGTGCCAGCTCTTTAATGACTTCTTCAGTGGTCAATTTGGCGTCAATAGCCAAGAAGGCATCTTCTAAAGCCTGAATATAAGCAAAATAGTCTAAGACTAGTACAAAATGAACTCCCTATATACAATCCTGAGCACAAGGATGGAATACAAATTAAGAGTGTGAGCCACCACACTAAGAGACACTCACAGATAAAAACAGCTCAGAGGCCTAGGAATAATAAGGCAAGTCTAAAAGGCGGCCAATAAGCTCGTTTTAGGAACAGAATTCTTCAAGAGTAAATAAGCAGCAGCAGCTAGAGGACAAAAAGAAAGGAAAAGCCCAAGGGCTAGAGAACAAGGGAAAAGCCTACACAAGTGAGGAATGGGCGGTGTAAGCAGACAGACCTTCTGTAGCTTGCCTTCCTTGTAGGCCTTCTGATCTTTGATGATATCAGGAAGATATTTGGCACAGTACAAGGCAACTTCCTCCCCTAGAAGGAAAGGAAGGAAGGTCACCTGGAGCACTGCTCCCCACACATAGAAAGTGATACAATATTTATATGCCATACTGGAGTGAACCCCAAGGGTTGAGGGGATAAATATCTTAGCACCCCTGAACCCTATTTGAAGGACACTGTTTGGGGAAGTTCTGATCCAAAAAAATGGATTTCACCATCAATTCTCTCGGGTATAAATATCTCGTCTTTTCTCACCTGTATACTTAGTTCTCCAGTGAAAAAAAGATAAAGAATCAGCTCAACTGGGTAC
The DNA here is from genome assembly GCF_000001405.40 of Homo sapiens. NCBI lineage: Eukaryota > Metazoa > Chordata > Mammalia > Primates > Hominidae > Homo > Homo sapiens. Next base: position 27,386,557 of record NC_000002.12, read on the forward strand.
ACTTTTTTGTTTTTTAAGACAAGAGTCTTGCTCTGTTGCCCAGGCTGGAGTGCAGTGGCATGGTCTTGGCTCACTGCAACCTCCACCTCCCAGGTTCAAGCGATTCTCCTGCCTCAGCCTTCCGAGCAGCTGGGACCACAGGCGCCCACCACTACGCCCAGCTAATTTTTGTATTTTTAGTAGAGATGGGGTTTCACCATATTGGTCAGGCTGGTCTCGAACTCCTGACCTCGTGATCCACTGTGCCGGGATTACAGGTGTGACCTACCGCGTGCCCAGCCTAAAAATTTTAAAAAATAAAAATAAAAAAAGATAGAGGCTCTTTGGATTAAAACAAGTCCTGGTGAGATTATAAACCAATACAGTACCTACTGGGAAAAAAGAATGACAGAATACAGAAAAACAGCACCACGCAGGAAATGATAATGAGGGCCAGACCCTGGAAAGTAAATGAACAAAGGGACCTGTTCTTGCCCTGGAACGTCTGGAATTGGGGTCCTAGAATGTTACCAATATGATCTGTTAAAGTTACCTCCATGTCCATCGTAGACAGAAAACATGGCTGTCTCACTGTCCAGCTCAGGAATACAGTTGTGAGCATCCTAGGAAAAGAAGAGCATAATCGGCATGTCTCAAGGTCGAAGAATATTCCTCAGGTCATAGGGATCAATGTCACCCCTTACTAACCTTTCCCTGGCTGGCCTATATGGCCTAGAAATAAGAAAGGAAGAAGGAATGATAAAATAAATACAGAGGAAGAAAAGAGGAGGGAGGCAAAGGAGGAAAGGGGAAGGAGAAAAGGAAGAAAGAATCAGGTTACTACCTCTATAATAACCTCAACCTAGGAGATATCTCAGTCCAGATGGCAGAATATTTGGCTACTGGAAATAAACCTGACCCTTTTGGATCTGTGGAAGCTACGGGAAAACCAGAATAAAGGATTTTTTCTTCTTTTTTTTTTTGAGACAGAGTCTCGCCCTGTCACCCAAGCTGGAGTGCAGTGGCGCGATCTTGGCTCACTGCAACCTCCGCCTCGTGGGTTCAAGCGATTCTCCTGCCTCCGCCTGCTGAATAGCTGAGATTACAGGCATGTGCCACCATGCCCGGCTAACTTTTGTATTTTTAGTAGAGATGGGGTTTCACCATGTTGGTCAGGCTGGTCTCGAACTCCTGACCTTGTGATCTGCCTGCCTCGGCCTCCCAAAGTGTTGGCCAGGCTGTACACAGCTTTATTTATTTATTTATTTATTATTATTTTTTGAGACGGAGTCTCGCTCTGTCGCCCAGCCTGGAGGGCAGTGGTGCGATCTCTGCTCACTGCAAGCTTCGCCTCCCAGGTTCACGCCATTCTCCTGCCTCAGCCTCCCAAGTAGCTGGGACTACAGGCACCCACCACCACACCCGGCTAATTTTTTGTATTTTTAGTAGAGACGGGGTTTCACCTTGTTAGCCAGAATGGTCTCGATCTCCTGATCTCGGGATCCACCCGCCTCAGTCTCCCAAAGTGCTGGGATTACATAAGTGAGCCACCGCGCCCGGCCTACAGCATTATTTATAATAAAAAACAGTTGAGGCCAGGCGTGGTGGCTCACACCTGTAATCCCAGCACTTTGGGAGGCTAAGGCCGGCAGATCATGAAGTCAAGAGATCAATACCATCCTGGCCAACATGGTGAAACCCCGTCTCTACTAAAAATACAAAAATTAGCCAGGCGTGGTGGTGTGCGCCCGTAGTCCCAGCTACTCGGAAGGGTGAGGCAGGAGAATCACTTGAACCCCGGAGGTGGAAGTTGCAGTGAGCCAAGATCACACCACTGCGCTCCAGCCTGGGTGACAGAGTCAGACTCCGTCTCTAAATAAATAAATAAATAAAATAAAAAACAGTTGTAACCATCTAAATTTCCAGGAATAGATTACAAATGGTACGTAACTCCAGTGGAAATGTAGCTGTTAAAAGCAAATATATGTTAATTTGGAAATGAGTTCACAATATCTTAAGTGGTTAAAAGCAAAAAGTTAAAAAAGTATCTACATGTGAGGACGGCCACAGTGGCTCACTCCTGTAATCCCAGCACTTTGGGAGGCCCAGGCAGGCGGATCATGAGGTCAGGAGATCGAGACCATCCTGGCTAACATGGTGAAACCCCGTCTCTACTAAAAATACAAAAAATTAGCTGGAGGTGATGGTGGGCGCCTGTAGTCCCAGCTACTTGGGAGGCTGAGGCAGGAGAATGGCGTGAACCCAGGAGGCAGAGCCTGCAGTGAGCCGAGATTGCGCCACTGCACTCCAGCCAGGGCGACAGAGCAAGACTCCGTCTCAAAAAAAAAAAAAAAAAATTATCTACATGTATATGTGAGTCTGGAAGATCACATAGCAAACAACCACAGAGGGTGAGATTTGGGTAATAATTTCTACTTTTCGACATTCATTTTTAAATTTTTGTACAATAAACCACATTGTTCCATTCTGAATAAGGACAACAAACACACCTAAGAACTGGCCTCAAGTTGCCATTCTACCATATACTGCATGATCTCTGGTCAGCTACCTTATGGTGTGCCTCAATTTTATCCTCTGTGATGTGGAATTACAATATCCACCACATCCACATCATCACAGAACTGTTGTAATGATGCAAAACACATAAAAGCCCTTTGTAAACTGGAATTTGCTACATAAAAATATATATATATATACACACACACATACACATATATGTATATTCTGCTCTGAAATTTAGCACCCATTTCACATTTTTCTTTTTTGTTCTTTTTCTCAAAGAGGACCACCCACAATAAAGATTCGTCTTACACCTTGAGGTCTCAGTCCTGAGAACTATCGCACAATTACCCTCTCCTTCACTTCTTGGTGAGGCTTGGGATCTATATTATGATTTGGAACTGTTTCACCTTCCCTAAACACTTTAATTTGCCCCCTTTACATGTCTGCTCATAACCTTTACCCACACCTTTGCTTCTCTCTATCCCTTACTGAGACAGAGCCAAGTATTTCAACATGGTCTCTTAGAAATCTAGAAAAACTCACCCAACCTTGTATAACCCCACCAACTGATTTATGCCTGAATCAGAACTACTAAGTTTGCTAGTCATAAAATGTTATGAGATTGGCTAGGTGCGATGGCTCACACCTGTAATCCCAGCGCTCTGGGAAGGTAGGCAGGAGGACTGATTGAGATCAGGAGTTGGAGACCAGCCTAGGCAACATAGCAAGACCCCGCCTCTACAAAAAAATTTTAAAGTTAGCCAGGCATAGCAGCATGCACCTGCAGTCAGTCCTAACTACTCGGAACACTGAGGCAAGAGGACCACCTGAGCCCAGGAGGTGGAGGCTGCAGAAAGCTATGATGCACCACTGCACTCCAGCCTGGGTGACAGAGGGAGACCCCATCTCTAAAACAAAACAAAGTTATAGGATCACATTGACTGTGGTAATTACTTCATTTCAGCATCTTGTTTTCTTTTTTTTTTGAGATGGAGTCTCCCAGGCTGGAGTAGAGTGGCGCGATCTAGGCTCACCATATCCTCCACTTTCCAGGTTCAAGCAATTCTCCTGCCTCAGTCTCCTGAGTGGCTGAAATTACAGTGGGCACCTGCCACCACGCCCAGCCAATTTTTGTATTTTCAGTAGAGACGGGGCTTCACCATGTTGCCCAGGCTCTTCTCAAACTCCTGAGCTCAAGTGATCTGCCCAGCTCGGCCTCCCAAAACGCTGGGATTACAGGCGTGAGCCATTGCAACTGGCCAAACACAGAAATTATCCTCTCTTCCTAGATTAACATTTTTTCTTAAACTCCTGATCTCAAATCCTTCTCCTTCAAGGTCTTACTACACAGAGAATGTAATAACCTTAACAGCAATCCAAATAGCCGTTTTGGCAATGGCTCATGCATGTAATCTCAACATTTTGGGAGGTCAAGGCAGGAGGACTGCTTGAGGCCAGGAGTTCAAGCCTGGGCAACATAGTGAGACCTCATCTCAACAACAACAACAACATCCGTAAACAGCCATTCTGCAGACTTCATTTCCCCTAGCCATTATGTCAGATTAAACAGTACAAACCATGTCAGTTTTTTTTTTATTTTTCAATGTTTATTTTAGAATCACAGAATACATGTGTAAGTTTGTTAGAAAGGTATACTGTGTGATGCTGAGGTTTGGGGTATGACTGAACCCGTTTCCCAGGTGCTGGGTATAGTATCAAATAGGTAGTTTTTCAGCTGTTCCTCTGCCACACAACCCCCACCCCCACCCTGCCGCACCACCACCTCTAGTAGACCCATGTCTATTGTTGCCATCTTTACATCCATGTGTACTTGATGTTCAGCTCCCACTCTCACTGCGTGAGAACACGCAGTATTTGGTTTTCTGTTTCTGTGTTAGTTTGCTTAGGATAATGCCCTCCAGCTACATTCATGTTGTTGCAAAGACATTATTTCATTATTTTTAATGGGTGCATAGTATTCCATGATGGCTATGTACCATATTTTCTTTTCTTTTCTAGTCCGCCACTGATGGGCACATGAGTTGATTCAATGTTTTTGCTATTGTGAATGGTGCCACAATGAACATACAGGTACATATGTTCTTTTGGCAGAATGATTTATTTTCCTTTGGCCGTATATCCAGCCATCAGATTGCTGGGTCTAATGGTAGTTCCACTCTTAGTTCTCTGAGAAATCTCCAAACTGACTGTGCCTACGCTAAATTAATTTACACCTTCACCAACAGTGTACAAGTGTCTGCTTTCCTCTGCAGCCTCACCAACGTTTCTCATTTTTTGACATTTTAACAAAAGCTGTTCTGACTGGTGTGAGATGGTATCTCTTTGTGGTTCTAATTTGCATTTGTCTGATGATTAGAAATGGGCGTTTTTTCATGTTTGTGGGCCACATGTACGTCTTTTGAGAAGTATCTGTTCATGTCCTTTGCCCACTTTTTAAGGGGGTTATTTGCTTTTTGCTTGTTAGGTTCCTTATAGATTTTGGATATTAGACTTTTGTTGGATGTATACTTTGTGAATATTTTCTCCCATTCTATAGGTTGTTTACCCCCTTGATAGTTTCTCTTGCTGCATGTCACTTTTCTTGAAAGATCTCTTGGATTCTGTGTAGTTCTATACCTCTGACTGCCTGTTTCTACAGGATGTTCTTTTTTTCTTTCTTTTTTTTTTTTTTGAGACAGAGTCTAGCTCTGTTGCCAGGGTGGAGTGCAGTGGCGCGATCTCGGCTCATCACAACCTCTGCCTCTCGGGTTCAAGCAATTCTCCTGCCTCAGCCTCCTGAGTAGCTGGGATAACAGGCACGCGCCGCCACGCCCAGCTAATTTTTGTATTTTTAGTAGAGACGGGGTTTCACCATGTTGGCCAGGATGGTCTCGATCTCCTGGACCTCGTGATCTGCCCACCTTGGCCTCCCAAAGTGCTGGGATTACGGGTGTGAGCCACTGCACCCGGCCAGGATGTTCTTTCTCTCTATACCTCAAACTTAACACATGTAATCAGGAAATCAGCAGTCTGCAAAAAAAAAAAAATCAAGAGCTTCCCCTACAGGTCTTATTTCTGTAAATGGAATCTTAACTCTCCCAGACAACACTTAATACCAGAGTCATGCTTAACTTCCTGGCTGTCTTCCACCATCCATCACTGAGTCCTGCATGCAGTCCTTCATCATGTTGTTGTTCCTGGATTACTTTGTTTTGTTGGTTTGTTTTGTTTTTTTTTTTTTTTTTTTTTTTTGAGAGAGAGAATGTCTCCCTGTCACCCAGGCTGGAGTACAGTGGCATGATCTCAGCTTACTACAACCTCCGCAGCCCAGGTTCAAGTGATTCTCATGCCTCAGCCTCCCAAGTAGCCGGGATTACAGGTGTGTGCCACCATGACTGGCTAGTTTTTATATTTTTAGTAGACACGGGGTTTCACCATGTTGCCCAGGCTGGTCTCAAACTCCCGACCTCAGGTGATCCTCCCGCCTCAGCCTCCCAAAGTGCTGAGATTTAGGCATGAGCCACTACGCCAGCCCACAGTACATTTTTTTTTTGGGGGGGGGGAGGGTACCAAATTTATTTATTTGAAGGAATGGTACAAATCAAAGAACTTAAGTGGGTGTCTTGGAACAACTTATAGAAAAGGTAAAGGAAACCCCAACATACATGCGCTGCCTTGGTGACAAGGTAAGTCACCCTATGGCTATGGGGAAATTAGCCTGAGGCTTAGCTTTCATTATCACTGTCTCCCAGGGTGTGCTTGTCAAAGAGGTATTCTGCCACGCCAGATTCGGGCGCTCCCATCTCGTGCATGTTGGTCACGTGGTCACCCAATTCTTTGATGGCCTTCACTTGTTCATTCAGGTAATGTGTCTCAATGAAGTCACACAAATGGGGGTCATTTTTGTCAGTGGCCAGTTTGTGCAGTTCCAGTAGTGACTGATTCACATTTTTTTCCAAATGTAATGCAAAATGCACAATTTTTTCCAAATGTAATCCATCGCATTCAGCCCGCTCTCCCATCGCATTCTCCCCGCACAGTCTGGTTTCTTGATATCCTGAAGGAAGATTCGGCCACCTCGTTGGTTCTACAGCTTCATCAATTTCTCAGCATGTTCCCTCTCCTCATGAGATTGGTGAAGAAAGTATTTGGCAAAGTTCTTCAAAGCCACATCATCGCTGTCAAAGTAGTAAGCCACGCACAGGTAAATGGAGGAGGCGTAGAGCTCCAGGTTGATCTGGCGGTTGATGGCGGCCTCTGAGTCTTGGTGGTAGTTCTGGCGCACCTGCGAGGTAGACGCGGTCGTCATGCCGGCGACTAAGGAGAGGCGGCGGCAGCGGCAGTGGTGGCTACGCGGCGCTGGAGCTGCGGCGGGGGCCTTGGGGCAGTCCGAGGGCATGGTGAAGAGGTGACGGAGGGCTGGCTATGGGCGGCCGGCCGGGGTGCAGGACGAGCGCCGGGTTCCGTCCAAGCACTGTTGAAGCAGGAAACCCCGACCACTCTCGGCGAAGAACGTCTCAACTTTTAATTATCATATTTTTTTCTGAGAAAGAGTCTCACTCTGTCGCCAGGCTGGAGTGCAGTGGCGCAATCTTGGCTCCCCGCAACCTCCATCTCCCGGGTTCAAGCAATTCTCCTGCCTCAGCCTCCCGAGTAGCTGGGAGTACAGGTGCGTGCCACCACACCCAGCTAATTTTTTATTTTTATTTATTTATTTTTTTAGAGACAGAGTCTCACTCTGTCGTCCAGGCTGGACTGAAGCGGCGCAATCTCGGCTCACTTCAAGCTCCGCCTTCCGGGTTCACGCCATTCTCCCGTCTCAAAACTCCTGAGTACCTGGGACTACAGGTGCCTGCCAAGACGCTCGGCTGATTTTTGTATTTTTAGCAGAGACGGGGTTTCACCGTGTTAGCCAGGATGGTCTCAATCTCCTGACCTCGTGATCCACCTGCCTCGGCCTCCCAAAGTGCTGGGATTACAGGCATGAGCCACCGCGCCCGGCCTAATTTTTTATTTTTAGCAGAGATGGGGTTTCACCATATTGGTCAGGCTGGTCTCGAACTCCTGACCTCAGGTGATCCGCCTGCCTCGGCCTCCCAAAGTGCTGGGATTACAGGTGTGAGCCACCGCACCCACCAACAGTAAACTTTAGTAATAAAAATTAGTAAACTTTTCCTTTCTGGAGTAGTAATTTTTAAAAAATAATCACTATTTCATCTTACCATATGCTTTCATCTTCAGGAAACACACTATAATGGCTTTAAGCTGTTTCTTAGTTCATAAGTGATAGCTCAGAAGCATCTGAATTATTTTCCCTGAATTTCACTACCTGGCCTAGTGCCTACATAGGCTAAATCATTTCTGATCATTCACATGCTCAAGATCTTCTTGTGGCTGGGCACGGTGACCCCCCTGTAATCCCACCACTTTGGGAGGCCGAGGCAGGCGGATCTCTAGGTCAAGAGATTGAGACCATCCTGGCCAACATGGTGAAACCCCATCTCTACTAAAAATACAAAAAAATTAGCCAGGAGTGGTGGCACGCGCCTGTAGTCCCAGCTACTTGGGAGGCTAAGGCAGAAGAATCACTTGAACCCGGGAGGCGGACCAGGAGGCGGAGGTTGCAGTGAGCCGAGATCGTGCCACTGCACTCCCGCCTGGTGACAGAGTGAGACTCTGTCTTAAAAAAAAAAAAAAAAAAAAAAAGATATTCTTGCAACTGGAATGATATTTCATTTTCCAGGAGTTTGACACAATTTAGGAGGTTTTTCCTGCACACAATGGCCACCCATTTCCAATTAAACATTCATAAAAACACCACAACCACCCACCTCACTACCTCATACCCATTAGAATAGGAACTATTAAAAATAATAATAATAAAAATAAAACCAGGCACAGTGGCTCACGCCTGTAATCCCAACACTTTGGGAGGCCAAGGCGGGTGGATCACTTGGGGTCAGGAGTTTGAGATCAGCCTGACCAACATGGTGAAACCCCGTTTCTACTAAAAATACAAAAAATTAGCTGGGCGTGGTGGTGCATGCCTGTAATCCCAGCTACTTGGGAGGCTGAGACAGGAGAATCACTACTTGAATCTGGGAGGCAGAGGTTACAATGAGCCAAGACCGTGCCATTGCACTCCTGCCTGGGTGACAGAGTGAGACTCTGTCTCAAAAAAAAAAAAAAAAAGAAAGAAAGAAAGAAAGAAAAACTTAATTCTAGCACCTTGGGAGGCTGAGGGGAGCAGATCACTTGAGGTCAGGAGTTCGGGACCAGCCTGGCCAACATGGCAAAACCCCATGTCTACTAAAAATACAAAAATAACTGGGTGTGGTGGTACACCTGTAATCCCAGCTTCTCAGGAGGCTGGGGCATGAGAATCACTTGAACCTGGGAGGCGGAGGTTGCAGTGAGCTGAGATCATGCCGCTGCACTCCAGCCTGGGCAATAGAGTGAGACTCTGTCTCAAAAACACAAAACAAAACAAACAAACAAAACTGGTTGGGCATGTTGGCTCATGTCTCTAATCTCATTATTTTGGGAGGCTGAGGTGGGAGGATCACTTGTGCTCAGAAGTTCAAGACCAGCCTGGGTAACACTGTGAGACTCTGTCTCTACGAAAAAATTTTTTAAATTAGCCACAAGTGGTGGTGCACACCTGCAGTCCCACCTATGTGGAGGCTGAGGTGGCAGGACTGCTTGAGCCCAGAGGTTGAGGCTGCAGTGAGCTATCACATTGCACCACTGCACTCCAGCATGAGCAAGAATAAGACCGTCTCAAAAAAAAAAAAAAAGAAAAAGGAAAAAAGAAACCATTAAAAAAAAACAGATAATAACAACTGCTAGCAAGGATGTGGAGAAACTGAAATTCTTGTGTACTGTTGGTGGAAATGTAAATGATACAGGTGTTGTGAAAAACAACATGGAGGCTGGGCACAGTGGCTCACGCCTGTAATCCCAGCACTTTGGGAGGCCAAGGCAGGTGGATAATTTGAGGTCAGGAGTTCGAGACCAGCCTGGCCAACATGGTGAAACCCAGTCTCTACCTAAAAATACAAAAATTAGCCGGGTGTTGTGGCGAGCACCTGTAATCCCAGCTACGTGGGAGGCCGAGGCAGGACAATCACTTGAACCTGGGAGGTGGAGGTTGCAGTGAGCAGAGATGGTGCCACTGCACTCCAGCCTGGGCGACAGAGCAGGACTCCGTCTCAAAAAAATTTTTTTTAAATTAGGCAGTCACTAAAAGACAAATACCATATGATTCCACTTACAGTATGAAGTATCTAAACTAATCAAATTCATAGAGACTGAAAATAGAATGCTGTTTGCCATGAGCTGGGGGAAAGAGAATGGGGACTCATTTAATGGGTATGGAGTTTCAGTTCTGTAGGATGAAGAGTTCTGGAAACTGGGTACACAACAATGTGAATGTATTAAATACTACTCAACTGTACATTAAAAAAATTTTTAAGGCCGGGCGTGGTGGCTCATGCCTGTAATCCCAGCACTTTGGGAGGCCGAGGCGGGCGGATCACTTGAGGTGAGGAGTTAGAGACCAGCCTGGTCAACATGGAGAAACCCCGTCTCTACTAAAAATACAAAAATTAACTGGGCATGGTGGCGCATGCCTGTAATCCCAGCTACTCAGGAGGCTGAGGCAGGAGAATCTCTTGAGCCCAGGTGGCAGAGGTTGCAGTGAGCCAAGACTGCAATCATTGCACTCCAGCATAGGTGACAGAGCAAGACTCCGTCTCCAACAAAAAAAAAAAAAGAAAAGAAATGACTAAGATGGTAATTTTTATGTTATGAAAACTTTGTTTCCCTTGAAACAGAGTTTTGCTCTTGTTGCCCAGGCTGGAGTACAATGGCACGATCTAGGCTCACTGCAACCTCTGCCTCCGTGGTTCAAGTGATTCTCCCTCCTCAGCCTTCCAATTAGCTGAGATTACATGCATGCACCATCATGCCCAGCTAATTTTGTATTTTTAGTAGAGATGGGGTTTCTCCACGTTGCTCAGGCTGGTCTCAAACTCCCGACCTCAGGTGATTCACCCGTCTTGGCCCCCCAAAGTGCTGGGATTACAGGCGTGAGCCACCATGCCCAGCCACAATGAAAATTTTTAAAGAAAAAAAAAGCCAAAAACTTCCCACAAAGAAGAGCCCAGGCTCAGATGCCTTTATTTGTGAATTCTACCAAACATTTACAGAAAAATTAATACCAATGATTCACAAACTCTCCCATCACATAGAAAAGAAGACAACACTTCCCAATTCATTCTATGAGGCCAGCATTACCCTGATTCTAAAACCAGACAAAGACATCACAAGAAACTACAGACCAATATCTCTTATGAATATAGACACAAAAATCCTCAACAAAATAGTAGCAAACTAAATCCAGCACCATATAAAAGGATAATACACATTGATCAAATAAGACTTATACACCAAAAAAATGCAAGGTTGGTTTAACATTCAAAAAAATCACTTAATGCAATATAGCGTATCGGTAGACTAAAGAACAAAACCCTATGATCATCACAATAGGTATTATAAAGGCACTTGACAAAATTCAGTGCTCATTAATGATAAAAAGACTCAATGCCAGTCTGGGCAACATAGTAATAAGACCCTGTCTCTATAAAAAATTTTAAAAAATTAGCCCAGTATGGTGGTGCATGCATGTAATCCCAGCTACTAAGAAGGCTGAGGCAGGCGGATCTCTTGAACCTAGGAGTTCAAGGCTGCAGTGAGCTATGATTGAGCCACTGTGCTACAGCCTGAGGGACAGAGCAAGACTGTCTCTAAAAAAGTAATATAAAATAGACTCAACAACCTAGGAATAAAAGGGAACTTCCTAAACCTGATAGAGTACATCTATGAAAAACTCAGTCAGCCAGGCACGGTGGCTCATGCCTGTAATACTCCCCCAGTTGATCTACAGATTCTGCATAACCCCTATAGAAACCCAGGTGCCTTTTGTGCAGAAATTGACAAATTAATCCTAAAATTTAGATGAAAAACAAATTTTAAAAACATTTCAAAACGTACTAAAAAGCTACAGTAACCAAGATAGTGTATTACTGGCATAGGGACATGTAGACCAATGAAATGGACTTGAGAGTTCAGAAATAAAACCCTCACATTTACGGTCAATTTATCTCTGACAATGATGCCAAGATAATTCAATGGGGGAAAAGAACAGTGGTTTAAACAAATAGTGCTGGGACAACTTGATATCCACACACAAAAGAATGAAGTTGGATCACTCCCTCATACCATTCACAAAAATTCACTCAAAATGGATCACAGAAACAGCTAAAACTATAAAACTCTTAGAAGAAAACCTAAGAGAAAATTCTCGTGACTTTGGGTTAGGCAAAGCTTCTTAACAAAAACAAACAAACAAAATAGACAAATTGGACTTTATCAAAAGTAAAAACTTTTGTTTCAAAAGACACCATCAAGAAAGCAAAAAGAGGCTGAGTGTGGTGGCTCACGTCTGTAATCCTAGCACTTTGGGAGGCCCAGGCGGACGGATCACGAGGTCAAGAGATCGAGACTATCCTGGCCAACATGGTGAAACCCCGTCTCTACTAAAAATACAAAAATTAGCTGCGCATGGTGGCATGTGCCTATAGTCCTAGCTACTCGGGAGGCTGAGGCAGGAGAATGGCTTGAACCCGGGAGGCAGAGGTTGCAGTGAGCCGAGATCATGCCACTGCACTCCAGCCTGGCAACAGAGCGAGACTCCGTCTCAAAAAAAAAAAGAAAAAAAAAGAAAGAAAGCCAGCAAAAAGAATCAGGGTGTAGTGGCTCATGACTGTAATCCCAGCACTTTGGGAGGCTGAGGCAGGCAGATCACCTGAGGTCAGTAGTTCAAGACCAGCCTGGCCAACATGGTGAAACCCGGTCTCTACTAAAAATAAAAAATTAGCTGGGAGTGGTGGCACACACCTGGGTCCCAGCTACTCGGGAGGCTGAAGCAGGATAGCTTGAACTCAGGAGGCAGAGGTTGCAGTGAACCAAGATCGCGCCACTCCATTCCAGCCTGGGTGGTCAGAGCAAGACTGTCCCCCGACCAAAACAACAACAACAACAACAACAACAAAAACAAAACAAAAAAAGAAAGCAAAAGTCCACAAAAATTGGAGAAAAGATTTGCAAATCATATATCTAACAAACTTGTATCCAAAACACATAAAGAACTCTTACACATCAAAAGACAAAAAGACAATCCAATTAAAAATGGACAAAGACTTTGAACAGACATTTCTCCAAAGAAGATACACAAATGTCCAATAAGCACATAAAAGATGTTCAAACATAAGGCCTGGCATGGTGGCTCTAGCCTGTAATCCAGCACTTTGGGAGGCCCAGGGAGGCGGATCCTTTGAGGTCAGGAGTTCGACACCAGCCTGAACAACATGGTAATGCCCTGTCTCTACTAGAAATACAAAAAATTAGCTGGGTGTGGTGGCATGTGCCTGTAATCCCAGCTGCTAGGGAGGCTGAGGCAGGAGAATCGCTTGAATCTGGACAGAGTGAGATTCTGTCTCAAACAAAAAGTTCAAACATCATTAGCCATTTAGCCATCAGAGAAATACAAATCAAAACTACAATGAGATACCATCTCACACCCACCATTAGTTATTATAAAAAAGGTGGATAAGTGTAGTGAACATGTGAAGGAACTGGCATCCTCATATATTGCTGGCAGGAATGTACGACGGTACAGCAACTTTGGAAAACAGTTTAGCAGTTTCTCAAAATGTTAAACACGTAGTTACCATATGACCCAGCACTTCCACTCTTTGGTATATAACCAAGAGATATGAGGACATATTTCCACACAAAAATTTGTACATAGTATCACTATTTATAATAGCAAAAAAAAAAAAAAAAAGTGGAAATCCAAAATGTCTATCAACTAATGAATGGATAAACAAAATGTGACAAATCCATACCATGGAATATTATTCAACCATAAAAAAGAACGAAACACTGATTGATTCATGACACAACATTGATGACCCTTAAAAATATTACGCTTGGCCGGGCGTGGTGGTTCATGCCTGTAATCCCAGCACTTTGGGAGGCCGAGGCAGGCGGATTGCCTGAGCTCAGGAGTTCGAGACCGCCCTGGGCAACACAGCGAAATCTCGTCTCTACTAAAATACACACAAAAAATTTAGCCGGGTGTGATGGTGGGTACCTGTAGTCCCAGCTACTCGGGAGGCTGAGGCAGGAGAATCGCTTTAACCCAGAAGGTGGAGGTTGCAGTGAGCTGAGATCGCATCACTGCACTCCAGCCTGGGCGACAGAGGGAGACCCTGTCCCCAAAAATAAAAAATTAAAATTAAAAAATTATGCTTAGGCACAACTATGATACATCAACTGAAAAATATCAGGCTGGGTGTGGTGACTCATGCCTGTAATTCCAGCACTTTGGGAGGCTGAGGTGAAAAGATTCCTTGAGGCCAGGGGTTCAAGGCCAGCCTGGACAACACAGTAAGACCCTGTCTCCATGAAAATAAATGAATAAACAACAATAATTAAAACTGACCTCCTGGAGATAAGAAAAAGAGTTAACTAGGAGATAAGAGAAAATTCAAGAATTGTTAAGTCATTAATTTGAGATGGAGTTCTGGGTCTTTTGCTTCCCTTCCATCAACTAAGTGAGGAAGGTTCCAACAGAAACAAATGGGAGTGCCTAAAAGAAAACTAGCATCTCTTTCCTGGTTACACAGGCAACAGACTTGGTGATCTGCCTGAGCTCTGTCTATCTGAACAGAAGGAGAGAATTTTAAAAAGTGCCCACTGGAGCCTGAACCATCCTGCTGGTATCCATCCAAAGGAGTCCAGCAGTATGAGGTCAAGGATACACAGCAGGTGGTAAAAGCCACAGAAAAGTCTAAAAACCAAAAGTGGAGATCAAGTCCCTCTGGGCCAGGCCTGGCTATTGCTGCAAACACAGAGATGGTGAGTGATAACTGGATATGAGACTGGAGTTTTAAAGAGATTTCTGATTCTATTAAGCTCTGTAAAATAAAACCTGCAAGGCACTGATCTAGAAAGAAGCAAAAGAACCTTGGGTCAGCAAAATACTTATTCTTAAATCTACTACAACAATGTATGTGTGATTTTTTTAAAAAGAAACTTACAGGCAAAGCTGAGGGGTAGAGGGAATACTTGGGGTGGAGAGTAATTTACTCTTCCAGGGGCCAACAAGCTTTAAAGTCAATTTCAAAAATACACATGCTTAGTAAAAGCATCCAGATATAAAAGGTAGTGTATTTAGAATTCCATTTATAAAATGTTCAGAATAGGCAAATTCATAGAGGTCATGTAAATTAGTGGATGCCAGGGGTTAGTGGACGGAAGATAGGGAGTGACTGGTAAAGAGTACAGGGTTTCTTTTTGGGGTTCTAAAACTGATTGTGGTGACAGTTGTACAACTCTGTTTGAATACACTACAAAACAGGCAGGCACGGTGGCTCATGCCTGTAATCCCAGCACTTTGGGAGGCTGAGGCAGGCAGATCACTTGAGGCCAGGAGTTCGAGACCAGCCTGGGCAACATGGTGAAACCCTGTTTCTACTGAAAATATAAAAATTAGCTGGGTGTGGTGGCGTGAGCCTGTAGTTCCAGCTACTCAGGATGCTGAGGCAAGAGAATTCGCTTGAACCTGGGAGGTGGAGGTTGCAGTGAGCTGAGGCTGCGTCACTGCACTCCAGCCTGGGTAACAGAGCAAGACCCTGTCTCGAAAAAAGAAAAAAAGAAGAAAAAAAAGAAAATATACTAAAAGCCACTGAATTATACCCTTAAAATGAATGAATTATACCCTTAAACCCACTGAATTATACTCTTAAAGTGAGTTCATATACTGTATGGTATATGAACCATATGTGGTATGAACCATACAGTATATGAACTCTATCTCAATAAAGCTGATTAAAAAGGAACCTGTAAGAAATAAATAAAATAAAAAGGAACCTGTATACACATTTTCAAATACTAAATATGATTAAAAGGTGTTGTTTTTCTGCTAGCATTGGGTCAAAAAGGAAAAAAAAGTTGATATACTTCATCTCTGAACTAGATCTAGAAAGAAACAAAAACAACTACACTGAAATCATACTCTGTCTACAAAATGTCATTAAACATCTTAAGCTCAGTTCTAAAGATTTGTTTCCAGATAATACAATGTCAAGAACTACTGATCAGACCTGTATAAATTTCTATGTTCAAATTCAAGCCCTTACCTCTCAAAATTCAATTCTAAGACTAATAACCCAATAGAAGATTAGAGGTTAGGGAAACAGTAGTAACAACTGCTAAGGAATCAGACAATAGAACTTTGTGTAAAATATCCTTGAAATCTTGAGGAATACGTTCTGATTGTATTTTCCAGTTGCTTGAGAACTTATAAGGCAATGGTATAAAATATAAAATAATTTCTAGACCAGGCATGGTGGCTCACACCTGTAATCCCAGCACTTTGGGAGGCCGATGTGGGTGGATCACGAGGTCAGGAATCGAGACCATCCTGGCTAACATGGTGAAACCCCGCCTCTACTAAAAACACACACAAAAAATTAGCCAGGCGTGGTGGCGGGCGCCTGTAGTCCAGCTACGCGGGAGGCTGAGGCAGGAGAATGGCATGAACCCGGGAGGCGGAGCTTGCAGTAGCTGAGACCGCGCAACTGCACTCCAGCCTGGGTGACAGTGTAAGACTCCATCTCAATAAATAAATAAATAAATAAATAAATAAATAAATAAATAAATAAATAAAATAAACATAAATAAAATTCCTCAGCCTGGGCAACACTGCAAGGCCCTATCTCTACAAAAAAAAACTTAAAAAAAAAAAATTAGCCAGTCATGGTGGCATGTGCCTATATTAGGCTGAGGCTGGAAGACCCCTTGAGCCCAGAAGGCTATGCAGTGAACTATGATCGAGCCACTGTAAAGGCAGATAAGTGTAGTGAGGATGTGAAGGAACCGGCACAAGAAATCCCATACTCCTTACCACTCAAGCATGGGCAAGAGTGAGATCCTGTCTCAAAATAAATACATAAATAATTTAAAAAATAAAAAGGCCGGGCACAGTGGCTCATGCCTGTAATTCCAGCACTTTGGGAGGCTGAGGCGGGCAGATCACTTGAGGCCAGAAGTTCAAGACCAGACTCGCCAGCATGGGAAAACCCCTTCTCTACTAAAAATACAAAAAAGTTAGCTGGGCATGGTGGCGAGTGCCTGTAATCCCAGCTACTTGGGAGGCTGGGGTAGGCAAATTGCTAGAACCCAGGAGGCAGAAGCTGCAGTGAGCCGAGATGGCACCATTGCACTCCAGCCTGGGCAACAAGAGCAAAACTCCAACTTAAAAAAATAAAAAGAAAATAGTTTCTCCATGCTCATGGGCATACATGTGATATAATTCTATACTAGCTTTGAACTGTGAATGGGTACTGCATGCTAATCAAATGCAAATAATGCGTTTTTATAAAAGTTGCTAACCACATTCTAGACAAAGAAATTCTGGCCAGGCGCAGTAGCTCACGTCTGTAATCCCAGCACTTTGGGAGGCGGAGGCGGGCAGATCACCTGAGGTCAGGAGTTCAAGACCTGCCTGACCAACACAGAGAAACCCCATCTCTACTAAAAATACAAAAAATAAGCCAAGTGTCGTGGCACATGCCTGTAATCCCAGCTACTCAGGAGGCTGAGGCCGGAGAATCACTTAAACAGAAAGGCCAGTGAGCCGAGATCACACCACTGCACTCTAGACTGGGTGACAGAGACTCTGTCTAAAAAAAAAAAAGAGAGAGAGAGAGAAATTCTGACCTGGTTTAGTAAGTAAAAAGCGCTTTAAGCTATTGGCTATTGATATGAGATGCTAATCTGAAGATAAGAAAATAAATGTTTTTCAACCTTCAATGCCCTAAGGTAGAACCCCATAGCATACTTGTGATATTTCTTTTTATATTTTTTCCATTAATTTAATGACTGAAACAAATATGCAGGTATTTTAAGAATTTTCTGCTCAATACTATCTTTATAGTCAATTCTAGATGACCCCTTGACCACTAATAAGCCAGCTTCTACACAGCAATAAATAGCCAGCCTCCTCAAAATTATACTATAGATATTGACACTGCCTTTAATAAAAGGAAAATATGATTTATAGCACAAAAAATTCCTGGCCGGGCACGGTAGCTCACATCTGTAATCCCAGCACTTTGGGAGGCCGAGGCAGGTGGATCACAACGTCAGGAGTCTTGAGACCAGCCTGGCCAACATAGTGAAATCCTGTCTCCACTAAAAATACAAAAAAAAATTAGCTGGCCTGGTGGCAGACTCCTGTAATCCCAGCTATTTGGAAGGCTGAGGCAGGAGAATCACTTGAACCCAAGAGGCGGAAGTTTCAGTGAGCCGAGATCAAGCCACTACACTCCAGCCCGGGTGACAATGCGAGACTCCGTTTCAAAAAAAAAAAAAATTCCTAACTCTCCATAGAAAGCAGTTTTGTCACTTCCAGAGAACCTCACAACCAAATATTAAATGTACTCTTGTCCCCTTAAGACTACATCAACTGATGGGCCAGGCATGGTGGCTCACGCCTGTAATGCCAGCACTTTGGGAGGCCGAGGCGGGCGGATTAAGAGGTCAGGAGTTGGAGACCAACCCGGCCAACATAGTGAAACCCTGTCTCTATTGAAAATACAAAAAATTAGCCGGGCATGGTGGCAGGCGCCTGTAATCCCAGCTACTCGGGAAGCTGAGGCAGGAGAATCGCTTGAACTCAGGAGGCAGAGGTTGCAGTGAGCCAAGATCATGCCATTATACTCCAGCCTGGGCAACAGTGCAAGACTCCGTCTCGGAGAAAAAAAAAAAAAAAAAAGACTACATCAACTGAATCTATTTTCAGATTTGACTTCTTATTTAGCCAACAAAAACTCAAGGGCCTTACCTTATAATTTTTCAGGCACCCCTCCACAACCTACCTCATTTTTTTTTTTTTTTTTTTAAGATGGAGTCTCACCCTGTCGCCCAGGCTGGAGTGCAGTGGTGCGATCTCGGCTCACTGCAACCTCCGCCTCCCAGGTTCAAGCGATTCTCCTGCCTCAGCCTCCGGAGTAGCTGGGACTACAGGCGTGCGCCACCATGCCCAGCTAATTCTTGTATTTTAGAAGAGACAGGGTTTCACCATATTGGCCAGAATGATCTCGGTCTCTTGATCTCGTGATCCGCCCACCTCGGCCTCCCAAAGTGCTGGGATTACAGGCATGAGCCACCGTGCCCAGTGCCTACCTCTTAATCCCAAAGTACATACCTCATCCACTTTTTTCATGGAGAAAGGAGGAAGGAGGAGAACATCAACTGTGGTGGTTTTTTTGTTTGTTTTTTTGAGACGGAGTCTGTCACCCTGGCTAGAGTGCAGCGGTGAGATCTCGGCTCACTGGCCTTCCTATTCAAGCAATTCTCTGGCCTCTGGCTAATTTTTGTATTTTCAGTAGAGACGGGGTTTCACCATGTTGACTAGGCTGGTCTCGAACTGACCTCAGGTGATCTGCCCCCCTCGGCCTCCCAAACTGCTGGGATTACAGGCGTTAAGCCACCACGACTGGCCTGTGGTATTTTGATTACCTTTTCTCAAAACACCCTGGTTGCTGGGCATGGTGGCTCACAGCATTTTGGGAGGCAGAGGCGGGCCGATCACCTGAGGTCAGAAGTTCGAGACCAGCCTGACCAACATGGAGAGACCCCCATCTCTACTAAAAATACAAAATTAGCCAGGCGTGGTGGCACATGCCTGTAATCCCAGCTACTCAGGAGGCTGAGGCAGGAGAATCGCTTGAACCCGGGAGGCGGAGGTTGCAGTGAGCCGAGATCATGCCATTGTACTCCAGCCTGGGCAACAAGATAGAAACTCCGTCTCAAAAACAAAACAAAACAAAACAAACAACAACAACACCCTGGTCACACAGGAAGAGAAGCTTGAAACAGGCAGAAAGTAAAAATGCCAGCTATTGATGATTGCCATTTTTGTCTCAAGAGTCCTCTCTACGGCTAAATCTATCCATCAGTCAGCATGTCAACAACCTTTAGTGGTATGATAACCTTACCTCAAATGAAGCATTAGGACCAAGCAAATAGGGTAAATAAACTTTATTAATTTTTGGATTAAGCCCTAAAGCTTCAGAGGAATGGGAGTACTTTATATTTTCTGGAAAGATAAGATTCAGGGAAGAGGCTAGAACTCATAGTTATTTTCTTGCAATAGCAAAGAAACTATGCTACACTTTGAAGAGAAAAAAAGCCAGAAGGAACACTATCAATGAAGCAGAATAGGATCCCAAACAATACTCTTCAAGAGGATTTGATTAGGCATATTTAACTATTGATTAGGCATATTTATTCAAACAAGGGCAACTTCAGAAACAGCACATTAGCAAGATTTTAATACCCTAAGCAGTTATCTCTCAGGAGGAAGATTAGGATGTAAGGAATAGTCTAGTAAGATCTCTACACACTAAACCGTCCCTGACAAAAAAAATCATTTTCTAATTGAGGAGAAACCAAAAATAAAGGGAAATGCCCTACAGAGAAGCAGCAAATAGTATGGAATCACTGGGCAAACCAACGTGAAACACTGAGTAGCCAAGCAACTCAATCCGTAAGTAAAAGTAGAAAGAAGGGTACCAAAGAAATGAAAAAACAACAGCAGAGAAGTGAAAAATATTAAATGAGAAACCTGGAAGAAACGTTTTACTGCGAGATGGAATATTCACCTCAAATCTCACAACGTTAACAGAAAATGCCATGGAAATGGAACTTCTTGACTACCTACTTTACAAAAAGACTTTCCTACGAAACTATACCCAGATTTATTTATTTATTCTTTTTTTTTTTTTTTTTGAGACAGTGTCTCACTCTGTCGCCCAGGCTGGAGTACAGTGGCACGATCTTGGCTCACTGCAACCTCCGCCTCTGGGATTCAAGCGATTCTCCTGCCTCAGCCTTCCAAGTAGCTATGATTATAGGCACGCACCACCACATTCAGCTAATTTTTTGTATTTTAATAAAGACGGGGTTTCTTCATGTTGTCCAGGCTGGTCTCGAACTCCTAAGCTCAGGCAATCCGCCCGCCGCAGCCTCCCAAAGTGTTAGGATTACAGGCATGAGCCACCATGCCTGGCCTATTCATTTATTTTTTGAGACAGCGTCTCGCTCTGTCACCCAGATTGGAGTGCAGAGGGGCGATCTTGGCTCAATGAAGGCTCTGCCTCTCAGGCTCAAAGTGATTTTCTATCTCAGCCTCCCAAGTAACTGGGACTACAGGTGGGTGCCACCATGCCCAGCTAATTTTTTTGTATTTTTTGTAGAGACAGGGTTTTTGCCATGTTGCCCAGGCTGGTCTCGAACTCCTGAGCTCAGGTGATCTGCCTGCCTCGGCCTCCCAAAATGCTGGGATTACAGACGTGAGCCACTGCGCCCAGCCTAGATATTTCTAATAGACAATTACATCTACCAAATAGTTATACTGTGTATGGTGGTGAAATATGAATGCTATGCTTCAGTTTGACATAGATGATTAACAATGTCTAGTGTCTTCAACGATCTGATCCTACAAATTCTTTCCACCAAAACAGTGTCCTAACCTTTCTGGGCCTCAATTTCTTAGCTATAAAATGTGGGAGCCGCAGGGTGTGGTGGTTCATGCCTGTAATCCTAGCACTTTGGGAGACCGAGGCAGGCAGATCACCTAAGTCAGGAGTTCAACACCAGCCTGACCCACATGAAGAAACCCTGTCTCTACTAAAAATACAAAATAAGCCAGGCGTGGTGGCACATGCCTGTAATCCCAACTACTAGGGAGGCTGAGGCAGGAGAATTGCTCGAACCTGGGAGGCGGAGGTTGCGGTGAGCCGAGATCGCGCCATTGCATTCCAGCCTGGGCAACAAGAGCGAAATTCTGTCTCAAAAAAAAAAAAAGGGAGCCAAAGCAGATGAGATGAACTATAGGATACACTCCAATCCTGAAATTTTATACCTAATTATAAAATTGTTATTAAGGTCAGTTATGAATATAAAATTTGAATCGGAAAACAAAACATTTAAGTTCATACTGTCATTCCAGAGCTAACCACAGGGAGGAGCGAGGGATCTGAAACAATTCCCAAGGGAGACAGTATTTCGCTGTTACCTGAAGCCCACCCGGTAGGTGGAGAAACCCTCAATACCAGACAGAGTATTTCCCTGGCCCTTTTGCCTAGACTTCAGAATGCTCTTCACAAAGCCACGGTTAACCCGTCTTCCTCCCTTTCCTCCCTACCGCAGTTTTCCCTCTTCTCTTTTGTAGTTTCACATCAAGTTTTACCTAATACTACTACTTTCCCCCCAATATTTTTCTTTTCCCCTTTTGTCCAGAGTAAAATTTTCTAGAAAAGCCCTTTGTAGGTAGGTTGTGATGAAAAAAATTGATGAAATGACTTACAATCAAAGAAACTATAAACTACAATTACAGGCAAATGAGAATTACTGATTAAGTTTTAGAGAAATCCTAAGAGAGAAAGAAAACGAAGCATAATAAAAAGGAAAACCTAGGGACTGACATAATTCAAGTTTTCCGAAGTTAGTAAAAGGCCCTGAAAAGAGTGCAAATGAGTGACAACTCCTGGAGGTCGGGTCCAGCCTCTGAAATTAACATGCAAGAGCCCAAGGCCAGGCAACCAAAATGTGAAACAGACTCTGCCCGGGGTTCCTTTCACTGTCAAACTCCTAGCCAAAAGAGGCTTCCCACATCAGATATTTTAAATATTAAAATTTAAAAAGTTATTCACATCTATTCACCTCTCCCTTGAAAAACAAATGAATAAATAGCCCCTATTTGCGTCTTTACTCCCACACTAAACCTCACACCGTTGATGAGCCTGGAGGGCTAGGTTGGCACGAGAGGATGGCGCCAAAGCTCGGGGAGAGGGCGGTCAGTGGGCGGAAGGTGCCTCTTCCCACATGGCCGAGCCCTCGCCGCCACTGGCCACCGGCACACGGTCCCCAAGCATCGGGAGCTCCCTCTCGGCCCTGACCCCGCGGTCTCTGTCGCCCCGCAAACGGCCGCTGCGGCCGCAGGCTCCCAATTGGGACCCTTCCCAGGGGAGGACCCCATCCCCCGCTCTCTTTCTCCGTCAGATTCCCGCCCCGCAGCGGCCAGCCTATGGGCCCCTGCCTCCTCACCTCCATGGAGACGCGCCAGCCTTGCATGGCGGAGAAGCCGTAGGGCAGCGGCAGGCGCGGGGCGCCGACCCCGTCCCCGGAGCACTTCACCGTGTTGGGCTGGGAGAGGTAGGCACCCATGGCGGCGGCTGGCCGGCGGCCTCAGGTGCAGGAAAGCTGGGCGCGACCCGTGCCGGAGCCGAAGCCCCGGGGGTGCGCGCGGCAGGAGCAGGCCCCGCGGCGCGACCGACGCAAGGTGCCGGTGAAAGGCGCGAGGCCGGCCAGGAGGCGGTAACGGGACGGGAGCTGTGAGGGAGCGGAAGCGGAAACGGCGCCGCTCCAGACCCCGCCCGGCCTGCGCGGCGGGGCCAGGCGCTGCGGGCAGTCATTTCCTTAGCAACTCGCCCCGCCCGCAGGGACAACGGCCCGCCCAACGGCCGCTCCCGCGAGACTAGCGCGACCACGCCCACCAACGGCCGCCGTCCTACTCCGCTTCCTCGCGCAGGTGGCAGGTCGCCTCTGGCAGAACCTCTTCCTTCGTTCCCAGTCCCCAGCCTCTTGGCGTTTTGTCTGACGCCTCTTTTGTGTCGGACTCGACGCTTTCAGCCCGTCCTCCAGTGTTTTCATCCCCCTCTCCCCAACGTTGCACTCTCAGACTCCGCAAACCCCGCCCGATTTGGTTCAATTAAAGTTGACCAGTATTTGTTCCGAGCTTAGGAAGTACTTGGCCAGGCCATGCGAGGCCTATATGAGAAGAATGTGAGTCTTTTCTGAAAGCGAAGACCTCGATCTGTGATATAATTCGAGTTAATACAATGTAGAAATGTTTGGTACAGCCTATTCTGGGTGGGAAAAGCTCAAGGATGGGAGGAGGAGCTGTTTCTTGGAGGATTGAAAGGATGTAGGCTCTCAGAGAGGATGCCTCTGGATTGCATTATGCCACAGGAAAAGGGAATAATGTTATAAGGTTTGGAGGAGTGAGGGAAGAATGTGAACTGCATTTGGGGAGGATTTCTGAGGAAGCTGGCTGGACTCGGAGAATGATTGTAAGTGGTAATATTAACTAGCTAGCTTGATAAAAAGAAGCGCCAAGATGAGTGACTTGGACTTCATTGTCGTCCTGGTGTAACCTTTGGCATCGTTTGTCTAGTCTTTGTATGCAGTGTACATTGGAGGGAGAGAGTCTGGGGCACTGTTGTGTTGTTGTTTTTTGTTTGTTTTTGAGACAGAGTCTCGCTCTGTCGCCCAGGCTACAAGCTCCGCCTCCCGGGTTCACGCCATTCTCCTGCCTCAGCCTCCCGAGTAGCTGGGACTACAGGCGCCCGCCACCACGCCTGGCTAATTTTTTGTATTTTTAGTAGAGACGAGGTTTCACCGTGTTAGCCAGGATGGTCTCCATCTCCTGACCTCGTGATCCGCCCGCCTCGGCCTCCCAAAGTGTTGGGATTACAGGCGTGAGCCACCGCACCCCGCCTACTATTGTTTTTTTTTTAAGACAGAGTTTCGCTCTTGTTGCCCAGGCTGCAGTGCAGTGGCGCTATCTTGGCTCACTGCAACCTCCGCCTCCCAGGTTCAAGCGATTCTCCTGCCTCAGCCTCCCGAGTAGCTAGGATTCCACGCCTGGCTAATTTTTGTATTTTTAGTAGAGACGGGGTTTCACCATGTTGGCCAGGCTGGTCTCGAACTCCTGACCTCGTGATCTACCCGCCTCAGCCTCCCAAAGTGCTGGGATTACAGGCGTGAGCCACCGCGCCTGGCCTGGGGCACTGCTACTAGTTAGAGAGCTCTTACTCTAAGCAGGAGATGAGAAGAGCTGGGAGTAAGGTGGTACCACGCAGGGTGGCAATGGGAATCCAGATGAAAGGACAAATTAGACAATAACAAATAAGACAGATTTGGTAATAAATTGCATTCAAGGGATGGAGAGAAAAGGAGAAATTCTCCAAACTATGACAAAATTGATTCTTTTCAGCCGGGCACAGTGGCTCACACTTGTAATCCCAGCACTTTGGGAGGCCAAGGGGGGGTGGTGGATCACTTGAGGCCAGAAGTTCGAGACCAGCCTGGCCAACATGTGAAACCCGTCTCTACTAAAAATACAAAAATTAGCCAGGCGTAGTGGTGCGCTCCTGTAATCCCAGCTACTTGGGAGGCTAAGGCAGGCGAATAGCTTGAACCCCAGAGGCGGAGGTTGCAGTGAACCAAGATGGCGCCACTGCACTCCACCCTGGGTGACAGAGCAACTCCGTCTCAAAAAAAAAAAAAAGATTCTTTAAAAAGATAAAACTAATCATGGCTTCTTCATGCTCTTCCGATAGTCCAAATTCCTTATAGTTTACAAGACCCTTCATGCTAATCATCCAGATTCACGTATGCCTCTCTTTAACTCTCCATTTCTCCTACAACTCTGCTTCAGCAATGTCTTTGGGTGCATCTAAAGCCATGCTTTCTCTTACACTTTTACCCATGGAGCACACCTCTCCACACCCCTCTTGACCATCACTTTCTCCAGGAAATCTCTACTATCACTATACTAGTTTGGGTCCACACTTGTTTGTCTTTCCTGATAGAATATAAGCCTTTATGAAGGCAGAAGTTCCATTAAACTTACCATTGTGTTTTCCAGCATCCCTTGCAAAGTTGTATGTGCTGAATAATATTTAAATATTTGTTGAATGAATGAATAACACCAAGATTTTGACTCTGCATAACAAAATGTGGTGGAGCCATTAACAGAAAAAGGTGCAGTTTGAGGGGATGCTAGTTTTGGGGGGAAAACAGTGGTTCAGTTTAGGGTGACAACTAATATAAAAACATTGAAAATATTAGATTGGAGTTAAGCCATGAAAGTGGAAAAGATGTTAATTAGGCTTGCAGGTTGCCAGGAACCTAGATGAGATCTCTGACCAAAGCAGTGTAGAGGGAGCATATAAAATTACTCAGCCTTGGTTGCAGTGAGCTGAGATGGTGTCACTGCACTCCAGCCTGGGCGACAGAGTGAGACCCTGTCTCAAAAAACAAACAAATGAACAAAACAGCAACAACAAAAATTACTCAGCCTCTTCTTTCTTCTCCTTCTGCTCCTCCTCTTCCTCCTTCTTCTAAGAAATGAGGTCTTGCTATGTTGCTGAGGCTGGTCTTGAACTTCTGGGCTCAAGCAATCCTTCCACTTTAGCCTCCCAAATAGCCAGGACCACAGACATGTGCCACTATGCCCGCCTTCTTTTTTTTCTTTCTTTTTTTTTTTCTTTTTGGACTTTGTTTTTTCCTAAGAATGGAATGTGACATTGTTTAAAGAGCATGAATTTTGCCACATATTACCTATGAGATCTTTCACAAGTTACTTATTCCCTCTTAGGCTAAGTTCATCTGCAAGACAGACATACAGCATCTACTCTTCAAGACTGCTTTAAGGATAAGAGGAATTGAATGTAAAGTGCTGAGTTATCCATAAATGTTGTATATTATTCAACAAAAGACTGCTGTTTAAGTGTCCATACATACACGCTAAATATGGAATGGAAGCCACATTTAATTGTGTTCACAAAAAATAGGAGGTGGCCTGAAAATAAATGGGAAAAAAACAGACAAGAAAAAAAGTGGAAAAGAAAATATAACTCGAGGCTGGGCACAGTGGCTCACGCCCGTAATCCCAGCACTTTGGGAGGCTGAGGCAGGCGGATCACTTAAGGTCAATAGTCCGAGACCAGCCTGGCCAACATGGTGAAACCCTCTCTCTACTAAAAATACTATATAAACACACACACGCACACACACAATATGACTCAAGGAAAAAGTAACGCACTGGGAGAGCAATAATGTTACAGAGAGGGGAGATAGATACTAAGGGGGATCATGGAAAGAGGTGAAAAAGGAGAAAGAGTATGAAGATTATCCCCTCACCATCCTATTCCCCTCAAAGTCACTACAGTATATTTCCAGTGACGTAAAGGTTTCATGCTTTGACTAGAAGGGAGAAAGAAAAAAAATTTTAAAAAAAGGCCGGGCGCAGTGGCTCACGCCTGTAATCCCAGCACTTTGGGAGGCCGAGGCGGGTGGATCACGAGGTCAGGAGATCGAGACCATCCTGGCTAACATGGTGAAGCCCTGTCTCTACTAAAAAATACAAAAAATTAGCCGGGCGTGATGGTGGGCGCCTGTAGTCCCAGCTATTCGGGAGGCTGAGGCAGGAGAATGGCATGAACCCAGGAGGCGGAGCTTGCAGTGAGCCGAGATCGCGCCACTGTACTCCAGCCTGGGTGACAGAGCAAGACTCTGTCTAAAAAAAAAAAAAAAAAAAAAAAAAACACCCAAAACGCAATACTATATTCATAGATCGATTGATAATGCTGAGTCTGTCTTTAAAGTATGAGCTGCAAAAATCTGGCTAATCAGACATGGTAATAGAGCCAGCTCCTGAACATGTACTTGAGGTGTTAGTCCACATGAAAAAAGGGTTTTTATGGCAGGCATGGTGGCTCACACATGTAATCCCAGCACTTTGAGAGACTGAGGTGGGTGGATCACCTGAGGTCAAGAGTTCAAGACCAGCTTGACCAGTATGGTGAAACCCCGTCTGGCCGGGCACGGTGGTTCACGCCTGTAATCCCGGCACTTTGGGAGGCTGAGGCGGGCAGATCACGAGGTCAGGAGTTCGAGATCAGCCTGACCAACGTGGTGAAACCCCGTCTCTACTAAAAATACAAAAATCAGCTGGGCGTGGTGACACACACCTGTAATCCCAGCTACTTGGGAGGTTGGGGCAGGAGAATCGCTTCAACCCAGGAGGCAGTGGTTGCAGTGAGCTGAGATCGTGCCATGGCACTCCAGCCTGGGCAACAGAGCGAGACTTTGTCTCAGAAAAAAAAAAGAAACCCTGTCTCTACTAGAACTACAAAATTAGCAGGGTATGGTGGCAACATGCCTGTAATTCCAGCTACTTGGGAGGCTGAGGCAGGAGAATCACTTGAATCTGGGAGGCAGAAGTTGCAGTGAGCCGAGATTGCGCCACTGCACTCCAGTCTGGGTGACAGTGCAAAACTCCGTCTCAAAAAAAAAAAAAAAAAAGAAATTATGAACCCTGAGGCATGTAATTATAGATCTCTGGGAATGTTGCCAGCCTGGGAGACATTGCCTTAAAGGTTAAATGTGGATGGGCGTGGTGGCTCACACTTGTAACCCCAGCACTTTGGAAGGCTGAGGCGGCCGGATCATCTGAGGTCAGGAGTTCGACACCAGCCTGGCCAATATGGTGAAACTCTGCCTCTACTAAAAATACAAAAATTAGGTGGGCGTGGAGGCAGGCGCCTGTAATCCCAGCTACTTGGGAGGCTGAGGCAGGAGAATCGCTTGAACCTGGGAGGCGGAGGTTGCAGTGAGCTGAGATCCCGCCATTACACTCCAGCCTGGGCCACAGAGCAAGACTCCATCTCAAAAAAATATATATATATATATTAAATGCTCTAACTTTAGAGTATAATGTGACATCAGTTCAATTGTAAATTTGAATGTGAACTGAAGATCACTCAAAAAAGTGTTAATCTAGATCATCCAAAATATGCCAATATGCTTGTATTTATATTAAATATTATAAATTTATGTTGTCTTCCTATGTTACCCAGGTTGGCCTCAAACTCCTGGGCTCAGACAATCCTCCCACCTCAGCCTCCTGAGTAGGTGCATGCTGCTGTGCCTGGATCTCATTGTTTTTGACCCTTTCTTCATATACATGTGATTCATATACATCAATATTATACTATTCATGAAATGATACCTTTAAAAACTAAGCAGTTTTGATACCATATTCCTTCTTGGTTGTGATTAAAGGTGAAAGATTGATCCAGAGAGGAAAAAAATAATCTCAGGGACAAGATTTAGGGCTAAGAAAGAAGGAATTCAAATATTTTGAAGGTACTAAAAACGAAGAGGGAGAGTCTATTTCTGGGATTCTGGGCTAGTTCTTACTCCCCTTTATACTCATTAATTTATATATATATTTTCTGTAGATGATAATATCTTGACTTTTTTTTTTTTTTTTTTGAGACAAAGTCTCACTCTGTCACCCAGGCTGGAGTGCAGTGGCGCGATCTCGGCTCACTGCGACCTCCACCTCCCAGGTTCAAGTGATTCTCCTACCTCAGCCTCCCAAGTAGCTGTGACTACAGGTGTGTGCCACCACACCCATCTTTTTTTTTTGTAATTTTAGTGGAGGCAGGTTTTCATTGTGTTAGCCAGGATGGTCTGGATCTTCTGATCCTCGTGATCCGCCCACCTCGGCCTCCCAAAGTGTTGGGATTACAGGCGTGAGCCACGGTGCCGGGCCATATTTTGACATCTTTTCTTTTCTTTTTGAGTTGGAGTCTCGCTCTGTCGCTGAGGCTGGAGTGCAGTGGCACGATCTTGGCTCACTGCAACCTCCTCCTCTGGGTTCAACCAATTCTCCCTGCCTCAGCCTCCTGAGAAGCTGGAATTACAGGCGCCCGCCAACACGCCCGGCTAATTTTTGTATTTTTTAGTAGAGACTTGGTTTCACCATGTTGGCCAGGCTGGTCTTGAACTCCTGACCTCAGGTGATCCGCCTGCTTCGGCCTCCCAAAGAGCTGGGATTACAGGTGTGAGCCACTGCACCCGGCCCATATTTTGACATCTTATAAAATCCTTTCTGGCTGGGAGAGACTGCCCTTCCAATGCTAACCAATTAGAGATAGCAAAGGACTTTTTTTTTTTTTTGAGATGGAGTCTTGCTCTGTCACACAGGCTGGAATGCAGTGGTGCCATCTTGGCTCGCTGCAACCTCCGCCTCCTGGGTTCAAGCAATTCTCATGCTTCGGCCTCCTGAGTAGCTGAGACTACAGGCACAGGCCACCACACCCGGCTAATTTTTGTATTTTTAGTAGAGACTGGAGTTTCACCATATTGTCCAGGCTGGTCTCAAACTCCTGACCTCAAGTGATCCACCTGCCTAGGCCTCCCAAAGTGCTGGGATTATAGGTGTGAGCCACCACGCCCAGCCAAAACATTCCTTTGATACATAAACTGACCAGTCCAGCGCTATACCTCCCCTATCTGGCCTGTACATCACAAGAAGCAATATTCTTTTGCCTTAATCATCGCAGGCAATTAGGGACCATCCCTAAAGTTTACAGCCTGCAGGAGTTATTCAAACTAGCCAACCCTAAACTCTTTGCCCTGCCTTGCCTTACCCTTAGAAACCCCAACAAAAGTTCTGGCCTAGGCCAGGCGCAGTGGCTCACGCCTGTAATCCCAGCACTTTGGGAGGCCTAGGCGGGCGGATCACGAGGTCAGGAGTTCGAGACCAGCCTGGCCAACATGGCGAAACCCTGTCTCTACTAAAAATACAAAAAATTAGCCGGGCATGGTGGCGCACACTTGTAATCCCAGCTACTCAGGAGGCTGAGGCGGGAGAATTGCTTAAACCTGAGAGGCGGAGGTTGCAGTGAGCCAAGATCGTGCCGCTGCACTCCAGCCTGGGTGACAGAGCGAGACTCTGCCTCAAAAAAAAAAAAAGTTCTGGCCTAGGTTGGGCGCAGTGGCTCATCTTTGTAATCCCAACACTATGGGAGGCCGAAGCACATGGATCACCTGAGGTCAGGAGTTTGAGAACAGCCTGACAAACATGGTGAAACCCTGTCTCTACTAAATACAGAAAAATAAGCCAGGTGTGGGGGCACATGCCTGTAATCCCAATTACTTAGGGGTCTGAGGCAGGAGAATCGCTTGAACCTGGGAGGCGGAGGTTGCAGTGAGCTGAGATTGTGTCATTGCACTCCATCTTGGGCAACAAAAGTGAGACAGAGAAAAAGTTCTGGTCTATACTTTCTCCTTGTTACTGTCTTCTGCTACCTGACCCAAACTTGGCATTTCCCCTGTGACCTTGTGTGGCATATAATGGCCCTCTTTCTAAAACCTGTGAGTGTAATAAATTTTGTTTTATTGTGCCTCTCCCGTGTCTCCTCTTGGCTGCACCTGACTGACCGTCCCCTAAAGGAACGCAGAACAAGTGCCCAATAAATGAAACTATTTTTTTAAGTCAAAAAAGTGTTATGTTTTACAGCTGTACTTTTCTATTTCTAGAAGGCAAGACATAAATTAATCTTGAAGCAATCTGCCTATACTCATGGAAATCACTAGAATGGGCCCTTTAGACACATATAAAAGAAATACCTATCTCTATCCTAAAGAAAGTCACAAAAGGACCATTAACCAAAATTCAGGTCTTTCAGACTGATATGCTGGGGTTTATCTTTTTATTAATAATATAAATTGTGGGTTGGGTATGGTGGCTCACGCCCATAATCTTAACACTTTAGGAGGCTGAGGCGGGCGGATTGCCTGAGCTTAGGAGCTTGAGACCAGCCTGGGCAACATGGCGAAAACCATCTCTACTAAAAATACAAAAAAATTAGCTGGGCATGGTGGCGAGCGCCTGTAATGCCAGCTACTCCGGAGGCCAAGGCAGGAGAATCTCTTGAAACTGGGAGGCAGAGGTTGCAGTTAGCCGAGATCGTGCCACTACACTCCAGCCTGTGTGACAGAGCGAGACTGTCGCAAAAAATAAAATAAAATCAATTGTGACTGGGCTTGGTGGCTTATGCTTGTAATCCCAGCACTGTGGGAGGCTGAGGTAGGAGGATTGCTTGAGCCTGGGAGGTTGAGGCTGCAGTGAGGTGTGGTTGCACCAGTGCACTCCAACCTGGGTGACAGAGCAAGACCCTGTCTCAAAATAATAATAATAATAATTGTGTCTTTAGCAGGATTGTGTCCTTCCAGTGGGGGGTGGGGGGGCAGGGAGAGATCATATTTTCTTTTCAGTAAGGATATAGAGTGAACTGTCTCTTAAAATCCTTATTTGTTCGGCCGGGTGCGGTGGCTCACGCCTGTAATCCCAGCACTTTGGGAGGCTGAGGCAGGCAGATCATGAGGTCAGGAGATCGATACCACCCTGGCTAACACAGAGAAACTCCGTCTCTACTAAAAATACAAAAATTAGCCAGGCGTGGCGGCGTGTGCCTGTAGTCCCAGCTGCTGGGGAGGCTGAGGCAGGAGAATGGCGTGAACCCGGGAGGCGGAGCTTGCAGTGAGCCGAGATTGCGCCACTGCCCTCCAGCCTGGGAGACAGAGCCAGATTCCATTTCAAAAAAAAAAAAAAAAATCCTTATTTGTTCTTAGGAGATCCATGTACGGGTTTTTTTTTTTTTTAATTTATTTATTTTTTGAGATGGAGTCTCGCTCTGTTGCCCAGGCTGGAGTGCAATGGCGCAATCTTGGCTCACTGCAACCGCTGCCTCCCAGATTCAAGTGATTCTCCTGTCTCAGCCTCCCAAGTAGCTGGGACTATAGGCGCATGCCACCACGCCCAGATAATTTTTGTATTTTTACTAGAGACGGGGTTTTACCATGTTGCCCAGGCTGGTCTCGAACTCCTGAGCTCAGGCATTCGCCTGCCTGGGCCTCCCAAAGTGTTAGGATTACAGGAGTGAGCCACTGTGCCTGGCCTCCCCATCTTTTAACTATATCTATATATCCCGAGTTTTTGTGCTGCATTCTGTGTGAATTAACTTATTCTTTTGTTAGTCATACCAAACTTAGAGTTCTTTTTATTATTTTGTTTCTCTTAATACCAAACAAATCAGGCAAGGAATTTCTTTACTTGTTTTTGGCGAGATCTTTGTCACTCTCTCTCCAAACCTGCTCCAACAATTAACAAGTATCAGTGATCTGATTATCTCTCTAGTTTTCTCATTTATTTCCTGAAGAATGTTCTCCTTTTCATCCCTGAGAGGTCTGAGAAAAAAAAAGAAAAAAAGAAGAATTTCTCTCTGGAAAGTCTCCTCTCTTCCCTCCAAGACGTAATACATTTTATTTGTTTGTTTGTTTGTTTGTTTATTTGAGACAGAGTCTCACTCTGTCGCCCAGGCTGGAGGGCAGTGGCACGATCTTGGCTCACTGCAACCTCCGCCTCCCGGGTTCAAGTGATTCTACTGCCTCAGCCTCCTGAGTAGCTGAGATTACAGGCGCGTGCCATCACGCCTGGCTAATATTTGTATTTTTAGTAGAGATGGGGTTTCTCCATGTTGGCCAGGCTGGTCTCGAACTTCTGACCTCAAGTGATTCGCCCGCCTCGGCCTCCCAAAGCGCTGGGATTACAGGCGTGAGCCACCGCGCCTAGACAATAAATTTTATTTTTTAAAAAAGATTAAATTTCAAACTGCAAAACTGGAGGTAAGGCAAAAGAAAGGAAACCCACACCCAGGTTCGAAATTTTCAACTATTATTGCTAAAAAGTGAGACATCTTCACAAAACTTGGAGTGGAAAACCATAGGTTTTATGGTCCAAGTTCCTGACTTCCAATACTGGAGAGTCTTCACTGGACTTTTCTTCACTTCCTTAACTGCTTGTTGAATTCCTATTTATCATTTAGAACGCAGCTCAGACAGATCAACTTTGTTCTTTGGGAAACCGTATGTATTAGTTTCCTATGACTGTTGTAACGCATTACCATAAACTTGGTGATATAAAGTGCCACACGTTTATTATTTTACAATTCCAGAGGACAGATATCTGAAATTAGTTTCGCTGGTATAAAGTTAAGGTGTTGGCAGCACTAGTGCCTTCTGGGGGATCTAGGGGAGAATCTGTTTCCTTGCCTTTTCTTTTTTTGAGACGGAGTCTCACTCTGTTGCCCAGACTGAGTGCAGTGGCGTGCGATCTCGGCTCACTGTAACCTCTGCCTCCCAGGTTCAAGCGATTCTCCTGCCTCAGCTGCCCAAGTAGCTGGGATTACAGGTGCCCACCCAGCTAAGTTTCGTATTTTTAGTAGAGACGGGGTTTCACCATATTGGTCAGACTGGTTTTGAACTCCTGACCTCAGGTGATCCACCCACCTCGGCCTCCCAAAGTGCTAGGACTACAGGCATGAGCCACCGCATCCGGCTCCTTGCCTTTTCTAGCTTCTAGAGGCTGCCTGTATTCGTTGCCATCACTCCACCCTGCTTCTGTGGTCATATTTCCTTTTCTGTATTCATACCCTCCCTCTGCCTTCCTCTTACATGGATACTTGTGATCACATTTAGAGCCAACCCTGATAATCCAGGGTAATCTCCTGGATTATCAAAAATTTTAATTTAAGTCCCAGTGCAGTGGCTCATGCCTGTAATTTTGTAAAAATACAAAAATTAGCCGGGCATGCTGGCGGGTGCCCGTAATCCCAGCTACTCGGGAGGCTGAGGCAGAAGAATTGCTTGAACCTGGGAGGAGGAGGTTGCAGTGAGCCAAGATCATGCCACTGCACTCCAGCCTGGGTGACAGAACAAGACTCCATCTCAACAACAACAACAAAACAACAACAACACGGCCAGGCGAGGTGGCTAACACCTGTAATCCCAGCACTTTGGGAGGCCGACAGGGGTGGATCCCTTGAGGCCAGAAGTTCGAGGCCAGCCTGGCCAACATGGCGAAACCCAGTCTCTACTGAAAATACAAAAATTAGCCGGGCATTGTGGCACGCACCTGTAGTCGAAGCTACTCAGGAGGCTGAGGCACAAGAATAGCTTGAACTGGGAGGCAGAGGTTGCAGTGAGCCGAGATTGGGCCACTGCACTTCAGCCTGGGCAACAGGGCGAGACTGTCTCAAAAACAAACAAAAAAAAGGGCAAAATAAATAATACATGAATTTGATTTGAACATAATTGAACACAATTGTGGAAATCAAATAATCTCAGCTGAATTAAGATTTAATTGGGCTATGTTTGTCTTTTTATTTCTCAGTGGCCCTATTTATGTATTTGTTTATCTTAGAAGTTGACTCAGTTCCTTATGATAGGACTTACAGGTATACAGCCAAATAATGTTCCCATTTAATAACTTTTAAAATGAAGCTCAGAGGCCTAAGGTATGAGGCAATGCCCCAAGGCATCATTCCAAGACAAGGATAAGGTGTGAGCTAGGGTTATGGTTACTATCCTTCAGCCTAATGACAGGCTATCTGTATCAGAATCACCTGGAAAAATTCTTAGCCATGCAGAAACTCAAGTCTCCCTGACCCCAAGAATCATATTCAGCTGATCCAGGGAGGGTCCTGGAGATGTGTGTTTTAAAACACCTCAGCTAATTCACAATTATCAAGAAATCTAGGCTTCTCTTATTTAGTTTGAAATCATACAGAAATGTAAATGCAATTTTTATTTGGCCTTCAGTTTGAAAAAAGGCTCTTTTGGAAGAAAGGATCCACACCACATCCCTAGAGAAATGATTAGATTGAAGGCATGGCTTGCAAGCCTCACATTGAGAAAAAAAAAAACAAAACTTAGAGCAGAAACCCAATAGGTTTTCCAATTGCCCTGATCTGTGGGAACTAAGACCTTCAAAGATTCTAGACAGTTTTATTGGAGTATGGGTGCGGCAACTCAAACCTGTAATCCTAGCACTTTTGGGAGGCTGAGGTGGAAGGATTGCCTGAGCCCAGGAGTTTGAGGCTGGAATGAGCTATGATCACACCACTGCACTTCAGCCTGGGCAACAGAGCAAGACCCTGTCTCTAAAGAAAAAAACAAACAAACCTCACTCATTGTGAATTTAATGACTTTCAGTAAATTTACAGAGTTCTGCAACTGGCATGTCACAATGCAAGTTATAGTCCACATGGGAAATTAGGTTAGCAGGTCACCAGGGAAGCTCAGACTTAGAACAAATAGAAATGAGTAGTCTCAAAAATAGACAAGTGAGATTGCATCAAACAACAACAACAATGGAAACTATCGACAGAGCGAAGAGACAGACTATGGAATGGGAGAATATATTTGCAAACTATGCATCTGATAAGGGCTAATGTTAATATCCAAAATATATAAGAAACTCAAACAACTCAATAGCAAGAAAAACAGGCTGGGCACGGTGGCTCATGCCTGTAATCCCAGCACTTTGAGAGACCAAGGTGGGTGGATCACCTGAGGTCAGGAGTTCCAGACCAGCCTGGCCAACATGGTGAAACTCTGTCTGTACTAAAAATACAAAAAATATGGCTGGGCGCAGTGGCTCAGGCCTGTAATCACAGCACTTTGGGAGGCTGAGGTGGGAGGATCACCTGAGGTTGGGAGTTTGAGACCAGCCTGACCAACATGGAGAAACCCTGTCTCTACTAAAAATACAAAAATTAGCCTGGTGTGACCGGGCGCAGTGGCTCACGCCTGTAATCCCAGCACTTTGGGAGGCCAAGGTGGGCGGGTCACCTGAGGTCAGGAGTTTCAGATCAGCCTGACCAACAAGGTGAAAACCTGTCTCTACAAAAAATACAAAATTACCCAGGCGTGGTGGCAGGTGCCTGTAATCCCAGCCACTTGGGAGGCTGAGGCAGCAGAACTGCTTGAACCCGGTAGGCGGAGGTTGCAGTGCAGTGAGCCAAGACTGCACCATTGCACTCTGGCCTGGGCAACAGGGGTGAAACTCTGTCTCAAAAAAAAAAAAAAAAAAAAAAAAAAAAAGGCCGGGGGGCAAAGTACCTGAATAGACATTTCTCAAAAGAAGATATACAAATGGCTAACGGGTATATGAAAAAAGTACTCTAATAATCAGGGAAATGCAAATCAAAATCACAGTAAGATATCACCTCACACCTGTTAGAATGGCTGTTATAAAAAAAGACAAAATATAACAAGTATTGGTGAGGATGTGGGGAAAAGAGAAAAGAGAACCCTTCTCGTACACTATTGGTGGGAATGTAAATTGGTACTACCATTAGGGACAACAGTATGGAGAATCCTCAAAAATAAATAAATAAAAAATTTAAAAGGCTAAGAACATCTTAAATTTGAATAGATATTGCCAAGTTGCTTTTCAAAAATATACCACCCAGAGTATGTTAGGGTTCCTCTTCCCCTGCATCCTTACCAACACTGAGTAATACCAATATTTGTTTATTTATTTATTTATTTATTTATTTATTTATTTTGAGACAGACTCTTGCTCTGTCACCCAGGCTGGAGGGCAATGGTGCGATCTCAGCTCACTGCAACCTCCGCCTCCCAGGTTCACTGGGTTTAAGTGATTCTCCTGCCTCAGCCTCCCGAGTAGCTGGTACTACAGGCGTGTGCCACCACACCCAGGTAATTTTTGTATTTTTAGTAGAGACAGGGTTTCACTGTGTTAGCCAGGATGGTCTCAATCTCCTGACCTCGTGATCTGCCTGCCTCGGCCTCCCAAAGTGCTGGGATTACAGTCATGAGTCACCATGCCTGGCCCAAGTAACATCAATCTTTTTAATTTTGATGATACATTAATTAAAAAAAGATATCCTGTTTTAATTTGCACTTATTTAATTATAGGTGAAGCTAAACATCTTTTCCTATGTTTATTGCCCAGTTGTATTTCCTCTTCAATTTCTTGCCTATTCAAGTTTTTTTGTTTATTTCTTTACTGAGTTGATCATTTTTTTTCTTTCTGGCTTGTAAGGGCTCTTTGTACATCAGAAAAATTCTATTGTCTTCCCAATCTCCTACAATGTTAATTTCATCCTCTCGCTACTGGAATTTTACTCTCAATTTATTATAAGTTTCTACTGCAAAGCTCTTTTTTATTCTTAATTCTCCATGATCACTTCAGCATTCGGGATTACTGAACAGCTCTTTCTTAAAATTTTCTACTCACTTCCTTTTCATAATACTGATTTATTTCATTTCTCTCTGTTTCTTAAATTAAGAAAAATTATCTTAATTTTTCTCCTCTATCTTTACTTTCTATTCCTCTTCCTATTAACGTACCCAAAGTTATATCCATTGTTCTCTCTATACCAGAG
Source organism: Homo sapiens (assembly GCF_000001405.40). NCBI lineage: Eukaryota > Metazoa > Chordata > Mammalia > Primates > Hominidae > Homo > Homo sapiens. Next base: position 27,424,092 of record NC_000002.12, read on the forward strand.
TTTCTTGCTCTGTTACAGAGGCTGGAGTGTAGTGGCACAATCACGGCTCACCACAACCTTGACCTCCTAGGCTAAAGCGATCCTCCTGCCTCAACCTACTAAGTAGCTGGAACTATAGGGGCATGCCACCATGCCTGGCTAATTACAAAAAAAAATTCTTTTTTTTTTTTTTTTGAGACGGTCTCACTCTGTCACCCAGGCTGGAGTGCAGTGGCGCAATCTCAGCTCACCGCAACCTCCACCTCCAGGGTTGACGCCATTCTCCTGCCTCAGCCTCCTGAGTAGCTGGGACTACAGGTGCCCGCCACCACGCCCAGCTAATTTTTTTGGTTTTAGTAGAGACAGGTTTTCACTGTATTAGCCAGGATGGTCTCGATCTCCTGATCTCGTGATCTTTCCGCCTCGGCCTCCCAAAGTGCTGGGATTACAGGTGTGAGCCACCGCACCCGGCCAAAAAAATTCTTTTATAGAGACAGGGTCGCACTATGTTGCCCGGGCTGGTCTCAAACTCCTGGGTTCAAGTGATCATTCCACCTTGGCCTCCCAAAGTACTGGGATTACAGGCATGAACCACCGTGGCCAGGTGCCTTTTTTTAAAAATTTTTTTGAGACAGTCTCGCTCTGTCACCCAGGCTGGAGTGCAGTGGCCCAATCTCGGCTCACTGCAAGCTCCACCTCCTGGGTTCACGCCATTCTCCTGCCTCAGCCTCCCGAGTAGCTGGGATTACAGGCGTGTGCCACCATGCCCCATCTCTACTAAAAATACAGCCAGGGATGGTGGCACATGCTTGTAATCCCAGCTACTCAGGAGGCTGAGGTAGTAGAGTCGCCTGAACCTGGGAGGCAGAGGTTGCAATGAGCCAAGATTGTGCCACTGAACTCTAGCCTGGGTAACAGAGTGAGACTCCATCTCACAAAAAAAAAAAAAAAAAAAAAAAAAAAAAAAGATATATGTAGCTAAATGCTCATTGCTGCTTTATTTATAATAATAAATGATGAATGTTATCCCAATGTCCACAGGTAGTTACTAATTAAATGCTGGCATATTTGGACAGTGGAATATTCTGCTGGTTAAAAATTAACCAGTAAAGGGTCGGGCACGGTGGTTCACACCTGTAATCCTAGCACTTTGGTAGGCCAAGGCGGGCGGATTGCCCGAGTTCAGAAGTTCAAGACCAGCCTCGGCAACATGGTAAAACTCTCTCTCTACTAAAAATATAAAAATTAGTCGGGCATGGTGGCACATGCCTGTAGTCCCAGCTACTTGGGAGGCTGAGGCACGAGAATCGCTTGAACCTGGGAGGTGGAGGTGGCAGTTAGCCGAGACTGAGTCACCACACTCCAGCCTGGGTGACGGAGTGAGATTCCTGTCTTAAAAAAAAAAAAGGCTGGGTGCAGTGGCTCACACCTGTAATCCCAGCACTTTGGGAGGCCGAGGCAGGCGGATCACGAGGTCAGGAGTTCAAGACCAGCCTGGCCGACATGGTGAAACCCCATCTCTACTAAAAATACAAAAATTAGCTGGGCATGGTGGTGCGTGCCTGTAATCCCAGCTACTAGGGAGGCTGAGGCAGGAGAATCGCTTGAACCCAGGAGGCGGAGGTTGCAGTGAGCCACGACTGCGCCACTGCACTCCAGCCTGGCGACAGAGCAAGACTCCATCTCAAAAACAAAACAAAACAAAACAAAAAGACAACAACAAAAAAAAACCCAAGTAAAGTAAAAAATTAAAGTAGTGGTTAAAAAATTAAAGTAGGGCCATGTGCATTGCCATAGAAAAAAGTGAAAAAGGTTATGTAGTATAAACTTGTTTTCATTTAAAATTATATACACATATGTGAATATATACTTAGAAAAATAAAAATAAAAGGTCAGGCGCGGTGGCTCATGTCTGTAATCCCAGCACTTTGGGAGGCCAAGGTGGGCAGATCACGAGGTCAGAAGATCGAGACCATCCTGGCTAACACGGTGAAACCTCGTCTCTACTAAATATACAAAAAATTAGCCAGGCATGGTGGCACACGCCTGTAGTCCCAGCTATTCGGGAGGCTGAGGCCAGGAGAATCTCTTGAACTTGGGAGGTGGAGGTTGCAGTGAGCCAAGATCGTGCCACTGCACTCCAGCCTGGGCAATGGAGCGAGACTCCACCTCAAAAAAAAAAAAATACACCAAAGTCTTAATTATCGGGGGAAGTAGGATTATAAGAGATTTCACTTTCTACAGAAATTGTTAATATTCATATTACTGTTGTCAGCATTGTTGTCATAAAGCAATTAAAAGTGCCTAACACATAGAAGCTACTATATAAATATTACATTATACTAAAATAGTTTTGGGAATATTTTTGCGTTGTTTTTTGGCAATGAGCATGAATTATTTTTATAAGCAGGAAAAAATAAATACATGAGGTGGTGAAAATGCAGGTAGTATTTGATCATTTTAAATGTAATGAAGGGTTAAAAATGAGAGCTAGAGGATGCCAAAGGGTCCTCCATGCATACTTGAAAGGACCTAGTTGAAAGCGGAAGGTTGATAATGATAAAGCCCCAGGCAGAAGAGAATGGGAAACTCTAATGATAACATGAACTGATATTTAATGAATGTTTACCCTGGGCCAGGTGTTCCAATTGCTTTTGAGCCCACAGGAAGGAAAGGTTAATCTTTTCCTTTGAGATTAGAACCAAGAAATTATTTTATTTATTTATTTATTTATTTTTTAGGTGGAGTCTTGCTCTTGTCGCCCAGGCTGGAGTACAGTGGCCTGATCTCAGCTAACAGCAACCTCTGCCTCCCGGGTTCAAGTGATTCTCCTGCCTCAGCCTCCTGAGTAGCTGGGATTACAGGCGCCCACAAGCACGCCTGACTAATTTTTGTATTTTTAGTAGAGACGAGGTTTCACCATGCTGGCCAGGCTGGTTTTGAACTCCTGACCTCAAATGATCCGCCCGCCTCAGTCTCCCAAAGTGCTGGTATTACAGGCATGAGCCATCGCGCCCAGCCCAGAGCAAAGATTCTTAACCTCAGTTTCCTGAAATTATATCCTAAATTTGTTGGGTAAGTGCATTTTTTAAAGTACAAGAGAAGGCCCATAAGTTACATCAGATTTTAAAAAGGGTGTTTGAGCCCCCCTCTTCCAAAGATAGAAGAATCAAGGAAGAAAGGGTAAAACATACATACATATATATATATATATATATATATATATATATATATATATATATTTTTTTTTTTTTTTTTTTTTTTTTTTTTTTGAGACGGATTCTCACACTCTGTTGCCCAGGCTGGAGCGTAGTCGTGCAGTCTTGGCCTACTGCAACCTCTGCCTCCTGGGCTCAAGTGATCTTCCCGCCTCAGCCTCCCAAGCAGCTTGAGAGAACAGACATGTGCTACCTCGCCCGGCTAATTTTTGTATTTTTAGTAGAGACGGAGTTTTACTACATTGAGCAGGCTGGTCTCGAACTCCTGACCTCAAGTGATCCGCCCACCTCGGCCTCCCAAAGTGCTGGGCGTGAGCCACCGCGCCCGGCCGAAAGATTGGTTTTAAAAACGAGTATTTTGAGATGATGAGAAAACGAGAGGGTTTCTGCCAGTTGTCCTTTCTCCCAGTGAAACAGGATTAGAGATTCTCTTTAATGACAGTAAAATTTGGTGATTGTGACATTTCCAAGTTCTGTTGATTGATTCATCATCTTCCCTCCATCATACACGTCTAAGGGCAGAGTGAACTTCCATCCTGAAGGCTCCGCGCTTAGTTTTCGCAGATTAATAGCTCACCAAGAATTTATCATCTTTTCTTTCCACTAACTCGAAACCAATCTAAATTCTTTCCAAACATCTTCTCAACGTAGTCTCCTTTGATGAAATTTACTGTTTCGGATTCTAGACTTGGCTCTTACCAACTTAACTTTCGGTTAATAGCTTAATACCTCTGATTCAGGTTTTTGCATTTGTCAACTACCATTGAATGATAATTTCAATGAGTTCGTTCTTATGAGGATCAAATGAAATAACATCTGTGAAAACCTCTTACAAAGTTTAAGCAAATAGTGCTAAGCAATCACCAAGCGTTAACTACTAATTTTCAGTGTTAGGTAAATTTTAAAAGCTTTCCGGAGAATTGGCGTCCTGCACACCAGTCTCGTTCCAAAATAATGCAGGCGGGGGCTGGGGTGGGGGCGCTCCTCTCGGACTGAGGCTATGTCTTTCGCTCCTTTTGTCTTTTCCAGGCATTAGAACTGTCATGGCGCCTTCAAGAAGAGGTAGGAGGCCCTCTCTGCGTCCAGCAGAACCATCTGGGGCACCTGGACCGGGCGGTGGGGTGGACAGAGAGACGAGCCCCAGCTGGGACCGAAAACATCGACCCCTCCGAGAGGTCTCGGCCGGACCGGCGCAAGGGGAGGAGAGCGGGTGGAAGCCCACCCCAGCGAACGCCCGAGGGCCGGGCCCCGCCCACCCAGAACGTCACCCAATGGAAACCTGCCGGCGGTGCGGCACCGCCCATCGTTGGTCCGGGCGCCGCGAGGGCGGGGCCCGCAGTTCGGTTGCGCTGCGGAGCGCAGCTGTGAGGGAGTCGCTGTGATCCGGGGCCCCGGAACCCGAGCTGGAGCTGAAGCGCAGGCTGCGGGGCGCGGAGTCGGGAGGTGAGCGCCCAGGGAAAAGAGGGCCCGGGAGGGAGGGGTTCGCGAGAGGACGGAAGGATCGGCCTCCGAGGCCCGGGACGGTGGGACCCGCCAGTCGGGTGCTGAAGGCGGCCCTGCTCACTCAGTAGCCCAGGCCCGATCGGGCCCTGCCTGCTGGAGCCGAGGGGCCGCTTCGGCCCCGCAGTCGCTGCTTAGCCCTCCCTGGCGTCTCTGGCTTGGCGGCGGCGCCCCGGGATTCTGCGGGCGCGGGTCGGGAGGCCCTGGCGTTCGCTTGGAACTCCGGCTGCGAGAGGCGGGGCCCGGCGGGTGGGGGCGGGGGCGGGGGCGGCGGTCGCGGCCCGGCGGCCTGCGGAAGCTCGGCGGCCTGGCCTGGCCTGCTCGCGGGGAGGTGCGCAGACTGCGCGGGGGCGTGGCCTGCGCCCCTGACTGCGCTGTCGGTCCGGCCTTTGATGAGGTGGCCGCCGCTGGCTCCCTGGGCCCCAGCCTGGTTCCCGCGCGGGCCGCGGCTGCCTTCCAGACGCAGGGCATGCGACCTGTTGGAGTGTGAAATTCTAGGGGCCGGGTTCCTCCCCAGAGCGGTTTTATTTCCGACTGGACTGTGCTGCGGGTCTCAGAGGCCCTCTGGTCCGTTCAGGGTGAGGACAGCTGAGAGGCCTGGGCCCGTGAGCTCTTGCAGAGGAGTTGACACGCAGAGGGGCTGCTGTCCAATAAACGAAAGTGTCGGGGAAAAACTTTGCAGGGCGATCTGCATTACTCCAAAGTGAACACACTGCATGTCTCAGGGTGGCTGGAGGCGGCGAGAATCCCCTTATGGGAGTATATGAGCTTTTCCATGTGTTATCTCTTTAAAACCTCTCAGCGGCTCCGAGACAAAACTCCCAGTGTCGCAGAGGTTTCTTCATCAATAGGAGTAGTGCTGGAGAATCTTGGGCACTGCCCTCATTTTGCCTGCGAAGGAAAAATTAGGAAGGGATAAAAAGTCACAAAAATTAGGAAGGTGGGGGGGATAAGCAAATTCCAAGGGCATCTATCTCTGATGAAGGGTTGGTGTCTCCTGTGGTGCCCTACTGTGGATTAGTTATTTGTGTCCTCGGTCCAGAAGTTTCTCTGGAGCCCATTGGCTACAGCTTTCCTGTATTAGAATTCTACTGTTATTTCCTACTGTAGTCTGGCTGGGAATTTTATTTAGTTGTTCAGATTTTAGATGCATTCAGTGAATGCAGCTGCTCAAGGAAGTAACTAATAGTGTCTTACCATTTTCTTAGCTACTTTTCAGAAGAAGGAACATGATCTCTAACAGAAGTTTTCTGGTAGATTACTAAAACAGGCAGATAGTAGCTTTCCTGGCTGGCTGAGTTAAATCCCTCTCCAGCGATCCTCCCACTTCAGCCTCCTAAGTAGCTGGGATTACAGGCATGAGCCAGCGCGCCTGGCAAATCTCTCTAGAATAAGTCAGGATCTAGAAAATAACATAGGGAAAGAATATCTTGCCAGATTTCCTCTGTACTGCCTATTGCTCTTTGGTATTTACTAGACTGTCTTCTAATAAAAATCTCCTGAGTTGAGTTAAACGTAGTGTAGATTGGGGGCAGAGATGGGCACAAATGGGCATCAGAGAGTTCTAAAAATAAATGTGGGCTTTTCAAAAGATTGGTGTGTTGACTGGAGACTTCTGAACTTAGAGGAGCACATTTAGTTTCCAGGGTATCAGTTTCTTTTTCTTTTCTTTCTTTTTTTCTTTTTTTTTTTTTTTTTGAGTCATAGTCTCACTCTGTCACCCAGGCTGGAGTGCAGTGGCGCCATCTGGGCTCACTGCAACCTCCGCCTCCTGAGTTCAAGTGATTCTCGTGCTTCAGCCTCTTGAATAAGCTGGAATTATAGACGTGCGCCACCACACCCTGCTAATTTTTGTATATTTTTGTATTTTTTTGTTGCCCAGGCTGGTCTCGAACTCTTGAGCTCAAGCAATCTGCCTGCCACCATCTCCCAAAGTGCTGGGATTACAGGCGTGGGCCAGCTTGCCTGGCCCAGGGTATCTCTTTCATACTGTAGAGAACTCTCTTGAGCTGAGCACACACAGGTTCCAACTCCTTCACAGTCTTTATTCTTAGAGATATGAAATAACATTAAGTGGTTGTCTTGTGACTTTTTGTACAAGTTAATGGCATTTAGCTCTCAATAATTCTTTTTCTTCAAGTACCCATGACCCTGAAAATGTTATGCTGTATAATACTTTTTCCTATAAAAGTTGTACCTTGAGTTATTTATACTTGTAAGAAATAACCTAGGCTGGGTGTGGTGGCTCACGCCTGTAATCCCAGCACTTTGGGAGGCTGAGGCGGGCGGATCATGAAGTCAGGAGATTGAAACCATCCTGGCTAACACGGTGAAACCCCATCTCTACTAAAAATACAAAAAATTAGCTGGGTGTGGTGGCACGTGCCCGTAGTCCCAGCTACTCGGGAGGCTGAGGCAGGAGAATCGCTTGAACCTGGGAGGCGGAGGTTGCAGTGAGCCGAGATTGCACCACGGCACTCCAGCCTGGGTGACAGAGTGAGACTCCATCCCCTCTGCCAAAAAATAAATAACCTATATCAGATCTAGTCCCCCAGAGAATGGAAACTTCAGAGCCTTTGAGCAATGTGAATGAAATGAAAGCTGGAAGCTTAAAGTCTTAGCTCTGGCTTGAATTTGTGGCTGCTTGAATGTGGGCATTTATTTTGTTTGTTATTGTATCTCAAGGACTTAGCCCAGTGCTTGGCCCACAATAAATGCTTAATAAAACATCTGTTAAATGAGTGAATGAAAAAAAAAATGTTGTTAACCAATACCCATTTGTCACACTCACATCACAGGAAAGGTGAGGTCATCAGGGATGAAGTCACTAACAACTGCCAGTCATGTGCCCCAAGGGTAGCCTCACCATGGACTAGTGGGCTTGTTCTGTGTAGAGAAGGGATGGATAGTGAATGCCAAGGTTAGTTCTAGCTGGATAAATTAGCCAAGGGTTTCAGCTGGATAAGTTGGCTGAGGGTGCTACAGGTCTAGCCTTAAGGCTGTCTCACTGAAACATTTTGGAGTCTGGAGTCATCTGTTCTGAATAGCGCCCACATAGTTTATATTTTTTTATTTTTTGAGACAGAGTCTCACTCTGTTGCCCAAGCTGGAGTGCAGTGGCACGATCTCAGCTCACTGCAACCTCTGCCTCCCGGGTTCAAGTGATTCTCCTGCCTCAGCCTCCTGAGTAGCTGGGACTACAGGTGCGTGCCACCACACCCAGCTAATTTTTTTATTTTTAGTAGAGACAGGGTTTTGCCATGTTGGTCAGGCTGGTCTCGAACTCCTGACCTCAGGTAATCCACCTACCTCGGCCTCCCAAAGTGTTGGGATTAAAGGCGTGAGCCACTGTGCCCGTCCACACATAGCTTAATTCTTGAGCACAGTAAAAATAGGGTGTACTTGGGGATTCAAAGGGAAGCCTATTGGATGAGTATTTGCCAAGAAGGAATGGAGCACCTGATTTTGCTGGTGATTTGAACCTTACTCTAAGTGGGATTAGACTGCCATAAATCTTGTGTTTGTCATTCCTGGGAGGGTCATCTTCAACTAAGATAGCTCCCCTTTTCTAGACTAGAGTTAGGAGAATAGTTAATGTTTCAGTATTTAGGACTGATTCTGATTTTGGATTTAAAGGAAACAAAGGTGGTGTGTGTTTTCTATTTTTAATTTTTAAAAGTTTTGTGTAGAGACTGGGGTCTTTTTATGTTGTCCAGGCTGGTCTCAAATGCCTGGCCTGTTTTATTTTCTTTTGAATTTGCAGATAAGTATTAGGATTATTAAATCTTTTTTTTTGTTTGTTTGTTTTTTGTTGAGACAGGGTCTCCCTCTGTTGCCTAGCCAATGGCATGATCATAGCTCACTGCAGCCTCAAACTCCTGGGCAATCAAGTGATTCTCCCATCAGCCTCTCGGGTAGCTGGGACTATAGCTGTGTACCACCTTGCCCTGCTAATTTTTAAATTTTTTTGTAAAGATGGGGTCTCACTTTGTTGCCCAGGCTGGTCTCAAACACCTGGCCTCAAATGAACCTCTTGCCTCGGCTTCTCAAAGTGCTGGGATTACAGAGGTGAGCCACTGTGCTCAGCTGGATTACTAAATTTTTTTTTGAGATGGGGTCTTGCTCTGTCACCCAGGCTGGAGTGCAGTGGCGTGATCTCAGCTCACTGCAACCTCCACCTCCCTGGTTCAAAAAAATTCTCCTGCCTTAGTCTCCTGAGTAGCTAGGACTACAGGCACGCGTCACCACACCCAGCTAATTTTGTATTTTTAGTAGAGATGGGGTTTCACCATGTTGATCAGGCTGGTCTTGAACTCCTGACCTCAGGTGATCTGCCCACCTCAGCCTCCCAAAGTGCTGGGATTACAGGCATGAGCCACCACGTCCAGCCTGGATTACTAAATCTTTACAGATGTATCCTGACTTTCTCTGCCTTTTCCCTCTGTATTTGCCCCAACCAGTGCAGGCCTGAGTGTTCCTTCCAGCATGTCGGAGGGGGAGTCCCAGACAGTACTTAGCAGTGGCTCAGACCCAAAGGTAGAATCCTCATCTTCAGCTCCTGGCCTGACATCAGTGTCACCTCCTGTGACCTCCACAACCTCAGCTGCTTCCCCAGAGGAAGAAGAAGAAAGTGAAGATGAGTCTGAGATTTTGGAAGAGTCGCCCTGTGGGCGCTGGCAGAAGAGGCGAGAAGAGGTAAGGTTATGGTACAGTTACTCTTGGGTGAGTGAATTCTGGAAAGGTGAGAACTGGAAGAGCAAAGTCTTAAAAGAGGCCAACCAAACTTCAATAGGTTGGGGGCTAGGAGGAGATGATCATATGGAGTGTTAAAATGGAGGATTTGTGAGATAAGTTTAATTCTCTTTCATATGAATTTCTTCTCAGGTGAATCAACGGAATGTACCAGGTATTGACAGTGCATACCTGGCCATGGATACAGAGGAAGGTGTAGAGGTTGTGTGGAATGAGGTACAGTTCTCTGAACGCAAGAACTACAAGCTGCAGGAGGTAGGTGATGCTGAAAAGGTGAAGCCTGGGGAATGTTGGAACACTGATGTTAGAGAGGAATTGGTGTTGGGAAGCTGCCCGTGAGGAGAGTATGTTGGGGTTAGATCGTTTCTGGGGAGGGATAGGGAATGGCTTCTCAGGATTATTACAGTGATTTGTGACTCTGTTATTCCACTGTCTCCCTTGCTTTCAGGAAAAGGTTCGTGCTGTGTTTGATAATCTGATTCAATTGGAGCATCTTAACATTGTTAAGTTTCACAAATATTGGGCTGACATTAAAGAGAACAAGGCCAGGGTAAGAATTTTTTCCCCATATTTCCTGAACTTATTGCAAAGAGACTAGCTACATTTATTATTGTTCCTTTTACACTCAGAGATTAAAACAAGGTAGTTTTGAAACAGAACTGGAATCAGCTGCAATGGCGATAAGAGTAGGGCTTCAGTTGTCACCTATGCCTTTTGTGTGGCTATAGATTGGGCAGAAAATGAGTGAACTTTTGCTTCTTTCTTCCCATAACTTTCATTGCTTGTTTTCATTGCCCTATTTAGTCTAAGTAAGTAAAGCTAAGAACAAAAGGAGAGAAATTTTAACAAACCTTCAAATTTAAAATATGTTAACAAGGGAAGGGATCATTTCTACTATAAGGCCTTTTAGTAAGTGCTTTGCCTCCCCAGGTCATTTTTATCACAGAATACATGTCATCTGGGAGTCTGAAGCAATTTCTGAAGAAGACCAAAAAGAACCACAAGACGATGAATGAAAAGGTATAGAAGGAGAGCAGACAAAGTTTGAGGCTGGTTTTTGGGGGTGGTTTTAAAAAGGACTCTGTTAATAATGAAGCTGATCAGGAAGGGACGGAAGGAGCTAGTGGGAGAGAGTTAAGAGAGGGAATTACTGCTGACCCTTGGATCCAACTTTGTTCCAGGCATGGAAGCGTTGGTGCACACAAATCCTCTCTGCCCTAAGGTAAGTAGTACCTGGTTAGTTTCTTACCCATATTTCCTGATGTAGTTACTCCAAACAGATTTCAGGGCACTACTCTTCTGTTCTATTCTGCCTCTCCCCACTTTCTTTGAATCATATACTGTCAAGATTAGGGCCCCTACGGGTCTTTTAAAGGGTGCGTCCTAATGCCCTAACCACGACACTTATCTCCTACCTCTTTCTCCTAGTGCTTATCCAGCTATTTAAATCATCAGGCATAATGGAGATTCAGAGTGTGGGGATTATCTTTATGGTGACCAGCAGGAGACCTGGCCCTTGCTCCTCTTAACCCTTGGGTTCCCCCTGCCCTTAATTTCCCAGTGGCCCCTCTAACAGCCCAGTGCCCCCACAGCTACCTGCACTCCTGTGACCCCCCCATCATCCATGGGAACCTGACCTGTGACACCATCTTCATCCAGCACAACGGACTCATCAAGATTGGCTCTGGTGAGGGGAGGGAGAGGTTCTGGGCAGGGGAGCCTCGGGAATTTGGGAACCATGGGGGTAAGATGAAAGGAATGGGGGATAACAGAGCAAAATTCTGAGGTGTGGGCTGGTGAGAAGAGAAAGGACCTTGCTAGGAGTAATTAATAGGAGAGGCCAGTTAATTAGTGGAGAGGGGGTAGGATATATAATCTTACACCTTTTTGAAGGGAAAATTGGGGTTAATACAGAGATACTGATAAGAGGCTGGGAAAGGGCAAGAGATAGGTTTGAGGTTTGATTTGAGTCCTGGGGCCAGACCCTGCCAGAGGAGGTTCCAGGCTGTTCCTGCTGTGAGTGCTTTCGTTTGCTGTGTATTGTATGCAGTGTACAACATTTCTGTGTGCTGTGTCTGTGTGGTATTTGTGTGTCCATTTGTCTGGGGCTTGGCTGCTCCATCGCTCACAACTTTTCTCTGTTTTCCTCCCTCCCGCTTACGGGCTGCTCTGTTCCCAACAGTCTTTCATAGGATTTTTGCTAATGGTGAGAGCTCCCTCTGCCCCACTTGGGGCTCTGTTTGTGCTCCCTCTGCTCCCTTGGCGGCTGCCCAGTGCATGCAGTCGTGGGAGCAAACCCTCTTCCCCTATCTTCCCTGCCTAATTATGCCTGCTTAGCTTCTGCCCTGCCAGCCCTCCGCCTGCTTGCCCCTTCATAACCTGCTTGTTTCCTGTGGATTCTGCCTGGCTGGCCACTTACCTCCTGGATTCATGTTCTCCCTCATCATCAGGCTAGTTCCCAGATCATACTGTGCTCCCAGATTCTCTGTGACTTGTAGTCATTGTTTATGATCTGAGTGAGTCCAAATTGGGCCTGGTCCTGGTTCCTCGTTCAGCTCTGTGGCAGACAGTGTTGAGGAATAAGGGGGTAGAACAGGAGTCTAAAATGTTTTGGTGGATTAAAAGTGGAACAGATTCAAGGGTATTAGCTCAATTCTGAGCTGTTTTGAGTTTCACTCAGCAAAGGTGGGTAAGAAGGAGGCTACCTCCTGAGCTGTATGTTAATACTTCTTATCCTTATTTATCCAAGTTCCTGAGGTCTCCAATTGTCCCAGATTAGGAAGGGCTGCCTGTGTTTTTATGTTATTTGCAGGGTGGATGAAAAAACTAAAACCAAATATTTTCATGTGAGCAGGGATTAGAGGTACCTGGGATTTAGGGAAGGTGAACGCAGTACAAGTGAAAATTTTTCCTTAAACTTCATTGCTTCTAGACCAGCCTGAAGCCCCTGTGTATCTGTTAATTTAGTCTGGTGCTTTTGTTGCTCCTGATTTAGGGACATTAGATGAGAAGCAGTAGGCCTAAGAAAGGGGAGGTAGGTGGCATCCATGTGTGGTCTGTAGTTCAGGACAGGAAAGGGAATATGTTTGTGCCTGTTGAGGGTCATCAGAAAGGAGACTTCAGGAGAGAATTTGGCTTTTGGGGCCTCTCTCTGGAGTGAGACTATTCTTCATTGATGATGGTCAGATTGTGGGTGTCTCCCCTACTCCCAGTGGCTCCTGACACTATCAACAATCATGTGAAGACTTGTCGAGAAGAGCAGAAGAATCTACACTTCTTTGCACCAGAGTATGGAGGTGAGCCTTCCTGCTTTCTCTGCCCTGTCCTCATCCCCCTGCTTTTGCACCTTATAACTTGAGGTACAGAGGCAATATAACTGAAACTTCTAGGCCTTCTCTACCAGCATACAAAATATTTTTCTTTTCTTTTTTTTTTTTCCTAAGGCATTCCTGCCAACCCTAGCCCCCAATCCTCTGATTAACCAAAGCCTTCTCTGTTTTCCCTAGAAGTCACTAATGTGACAACAGCAGTGGACATCTACTCCTTTGGCATGTGTGCACTGGAGGTGAGGGGACTGGAGGGGAGGGGGGAAAGGGGTCAGATGAGAAGATGGAATTGGGAATGGAGGGAAGACAAGTAAGGCGCTGGCTTGGAGGGAGTGATTGTGGGAGCACTGAAGTTCTTAGGTGTCTACTTTTTTTTTTATTCTTCCTCACTGAAGATGGCAGTGCTGGAGATTCAGGGCAATGGAGAGTCCTCATATGTGCCACAGGAAGCCATCAGCAGTGCCATCCAGCTTCTAGAAGACCCATTACAGAGGGTAAGGATCTTCAGGATCACTCCCTCCTCAACTGACCTTCAAATGTCTTCTGGTTTTTCTTCCTTTGTACCCACTGGGTATATGCTCCTAAGAGCTAGGGAACATAACAGAAAGGACACGAAAAATCTATAAACATTTTCTTAGGAGGTGCCTACCATGTTTTTGCATAGAAACACACAGGTAAGGGGGTTAAGATGGATGATGCTGGGGTTAAAAGTTGTGTGTTGGAAGCCGGGCATGGTGGCTCACGCCTGTAATCCCAGCACTTTGGGAGGCCGAGGCGGGCGGATCACGAGGTCAGGGGATCGAGACCATCCTGGCTAACATGGTGAAACCCTGTCTCTACTAAAAATACAAAAAAAATTAGCCAGGCTTGGTGGCGGGAGCCTGTAGTCCCAGCTACTCAGGAGGCTGAGGCAGGAGAATGGCATGAACCCGGGAGGCAAAGCTTGCAGTGAGCTGAGATCGCGCCACTGCACTCCAGCCTGGGCGACACAGGTAGACTCCGTCTCAGAAAAAAAGAAAAAAAAAAAAGTTGTGTGTTGGCTGGGTGCAGTGGCTCACACCTGTAATCCCAGCACTTTGAGAGGCTGAGGCGGGTGGATCACTTGAGGTCAGGAGTTTGAGACCAGCCTGGCCAACATGGTGAAACCCTGTCTCTACTAAAAATACAAAAATTAGCTGGGCATGGTGGTGTGTGCCTGTAGTCTCACCTACTCGGGAGGCTGAGGCAAGCTTGAACCCGGGAGGCGGAGATTGCAGTGAGCTGAGATTGGGCCACTGCACTCCAGCTGGGGCAAGAGAGCGAGACTGTCTCAAAAAAAAAAAAAAAGTATGTTAATTTGAATGTGTCTACATGGAGGTAAATTAATTTGATGGTTACTTCAGGCCATTGCTGTATACTCTCAGACAGCCATTTTTATATTTTTAAGCACATCAGTCAATTTAAATTAAACCAGTTGTTTGGGATTTTATATTTATACAGTTTTAGTTAGGGACGGTGGCCTGAAATAATGAGCTAAGATTTAAAAGACATAAGGTTATGAATCAGTTGATAGACTATAGTAAGCAGAGCCTGGGCAGGAAGGTCCAAACAAGAACAGTTTGTAACTCATTAGATAAGTATAGTAGGGAACAGGAGAGAAAAGAAGACTAGTGGGAAGTCAGGAGGATAGTGTGGAGTAAGTTTCTACTTCAACATTGAGGTGGAGTATTCAAGTGAAAGATTAGGTATGTGACCTTGTTAGCCTTCAAGGTTAAAAGCAGGAAAGCAGGTTAATTGTCATGGGACATGCAGGAGGTAGAAAAGGAGGCGGTGGTGGAACATGGTGGCTCATACTTTTAATCCCAGCACTTTTGGAGGCTGAGGTGGGAGGATCACTTGAGCTCAGGAGTTCGAGACTAGCCTGGGCAACGTGGTAAAACCCTATCTCTATGAAAAAATAAAAATTATCTGGGTATGGTGGCACATGCCTGTGGTCCCAGCTACTCTGGAAGCTGAAGTGGGAGGATTGCTTGAGCCCAGGAGGTTGAGGCAGCAGTGAGCTGTGATTGTGCCACTGTACTCCAGCCTGGTTGGCACAGCAAGACCCTGTCTCAGAAAAAAGAAAGAAAGAAAATAAGGCAGAATCGTTAGAGGAATCCTGGGAAATTCGGTGAATTCAGTGATTGTGGGCAAAGGAAATTGTGATACTAGGCTTGTGAAATAAAAAAATGGTGAATATTGATCACATTGGGTAAGTTTGGGAAGAGAGAAGCTAAATTTGGCAAGATTTAGAAAAGAAGATAGGCAGTGAGTTGACTAATAAAGCAGAGAGGTAGAAACTAAGGAAAAAGAAAGTGTGGGGCCGGGCGCGGTGTCTCATGCCTGTAATACCGGCACTTTGGGAGGCTGAGGCGGGTGGATCACGAGGTCAGGAGATTGAGACCATCCTGGCTAACATGGTGAAACCGTCTCTACTGAAAATACAAAAAATTAGCCGGGCATGGTGGTGGGCACCTGTAGTCCCAGCTACTCGGGAGGCTGAGGCAGGAGAATGGCGTGAACCCGGTAGGCAGAGGTTGCAGTGAGCTGAGATTGCGCCACTGCACTCCAGCCTGGGCGACAGAGCGAGACTCCGTCTCAAAAAAAAAAAAAAAAAAAATTGTGAACATTAAAAAAGAAAGCTTGTGGTTGGAGAGCAGAAAAATAATTAAAACCAGAAAGGCAGTGGATGGTATCTTTCATATAATATCTTACAGTTTTTGAAGCCCTTTCAGGTGCATTTTTCAATATATTGTTTTCTCAGCAAGTGCTGAGCACCTACTATGTACAAAGCCTTGTGCTAAGTAGAATGAGAGCTATAAAGATGAACACACTGGGGGCTTGCCAGATGCCTGCTCCAGTTCCTTGTTTCCTTTTCTAGGAGTTCATTCAAAAGTGCCTGCAGTCTGAGCCTGCTCGCAGACCAACAGCCAGAGAACTTCTGTTCCACCCAGCATTGTTTGAAGTGCCCTCGCTCAAACTCCTTGCGGCCCACTGCATTGTGGGACACCAACGTGAGTCGTCTTGGCCCTATGGGGAATAGTCTTCCAATCTGGAGCCCTGTAACTATCACTGGCATGCTTGTTTTCCTCTTTATTTCCAAAGGGATTCTTTTTTTTTTTTTTTTTTTTTTTTTTTTTTTTTTTTGAGACAGAGTCTCACTCTCTCTCAGGCTGGAGTGCAATGGCTTGATCTCAGCTCATTGCAACCTCCAGCTCCCAGGCTCAAGCGATTCTTGTGCCTTAGCCTCCCGAAGAGCTGGGATTACAGGCATGTGCCACCATGCCTGGGTAATTTTTGTACTTTTAGTAGAGATGGGGTTTCGCCATGTTGGCCAGGCTGGTCTTGAACTGGCGTCAAGTGATCTGTCCGCCTCGGCTTCCCAAAGTGCTGGGATTACAGGCATGAGCCACTGTGCCAGGCCTCCAAAGGGATTCTTTACCCCTTTGCCTGCATGCCTTCTTTGACATTTAATCTGACTATCCCTTCATAATATCCCACTCCATCATGCCCTCCAGACATGATCCCAGAGAACGCTCTAGAGGAGATCACCAAAAACATGGATACTAGTGCCGTACTGGCTGAAATCCCTGCAGGACCAGGAAGAGAACCAGTTCAGACTTTGTGAGTAACTGAGAGGGTCTGAAAGGGGCAGATTGGTCACGACCACTCTTGAGGCTCTGTAAACTGTCCATTCTCTGGGAATGCTTGAATTTGCTATTTTGCTTGTTTCTTTCCTTCCATCTCCTTTCTCTTTTCTCGTCCAGGTACTCTCAGTCACCAGCTCTGGAATTAGATAAATTCCTTGAAGATGTCAGGTGAGAGCAGAGTGAGAAGCAGGCTTTCTTGAGGAAGCAGGCGGGGTTGGGTATCCTAAGGCGTTCACAGAGCCCATGTGACCTGTCTTCATCTCCCTCCAGGAATGGGATCTATCCTCTGACAGCCTTTGGGCTGCCTCGGCCCCAGCAGCCACAGCAGGAGGAGGTGACATCACCTGTCGTGCCCCCCTCTGTCAAGACTCCGACACCTGAACCAGCTGAGGTGGAGACTCGCAAGGTGGGGGCTGTGTGGGTGTGGATTGTCTCCATGGTTGTGGTGGAAGGGAGAGAGGACATCTCAAATAAGGCTCTATCCTTTAGAGAAAATGCTCCCTAGCAGCCATGCCCTATGGGCTCGAAAGACGTCTAGGTATTGGGTTTTTTATGGACAGGTCTCTAGAGTGACCCTCTCTTCCCTCCCTAGGTGGTGCTGATGCAGTGCAACATTGAGTCGGTGGAGGAGGGAGTCAAACACCACGTAAGGCTCAGGGCTAGGGTTGCGCAGGGCTAGTAGCCAGAGGGTAGGGAAGAAAAGTCTCATTTTCTGACTGTCCTATTCTCCAGCTGACACTTCTGCTGAAGTTGGAGGACAAACTGAACCGGCACCTGAGCTGTGACCTGATGCCAAGTGAGTCTCTCCTTTCCCTCAGAGGATGGAGAGTCTATGAGCCTTATCTTTTAGGGACATATTCAGGGGTGGGGGAGGTGACAAGGCAGTAACACATTGACTCACATAGAATGACTATCTTAGACCCTAAAGCAGTGGGTGGATCTGACTGACAGTTTAGCCCTAGTGGGGCTGTCTGAAGGGCCCCAGGTCCCTCAGTCCCGTACTGTACTCACCCCCTCCTGTTTCTTTGTCAGATGAGAATATCCCCGAGTTGGCGGCTGAGCTGGTGCAGCTGGGCTTCATTAGTGAGGTGAGGTTTCTGCCTTCATCTGCCCTGGCTGCCCCCATGCCTTCTCTTCTCTCAGCCCCCATCTTACTGAGCTCTTCTCCCCCAGGCTGACCAGAGCCGGTTGACTTCTCTGCTAGAAGAGACCTTGAACAAGTTCAATTTTGCCAGGAACAGTACCCTCAACTCAGCCGCTGTCACCGTCTCCTCTTAGAGCTCACTCGGGCCAGGCCCTGATCTGCGCTGTGGCTGTCCCTGGACGTGCTGCAGCCCTCCTGTCCCTTCCCCCCAGTCAGTATTACCCTGTGAAGCCCCTTCCCTCCTTTATTATTCAGGAGGGCTGGGGGGGCTCCCTGGTTCTGAGCATCATCCTTTCCCCTCCCCTCTCTTCCTCCCCTCTGCACTTTGTTTACTTGTTTTGCACAGACGTGGGCCTGGGCCTTCTCAGCAGCCGCCTTCTAGTTGGGGGCTAGTCGCTGATCTGCCGGCTCCCGCCCAGCCTGTGTGGAAAGGAGGCCCACGGGCACTAGGGGAGCCGAATTCTACAATCCCGCTGGGGCGGCCGGGGCGGGAGAGAAAGGTGGTGCTGCAGTGGTGGCCCTGGGGGGCCATTCGATTCGCCTCAGTTGCTGCTGTAATAAAAGTCTACTTTTTGCTAAAAGCGTCGTGTGTTCGCGCCTTTCCCGCCAGGGGGAGCGGGCCCGGGGCGGAGGCGGGGCCCAGGTGGGAGGGGGACCCGGGACGGAGGCGGGGCCCAGGTTGGGGCGGGGCCGGGCCCAGGTACAGCGGCCCTGCGGCTGGCGCGGCGGACGGGATGAGGCGCTGCAGTCTCTGCGCTTTCGGTAACTTCCGGGCCCTGGCGTCTCGTCTCCTTACCCTGGGGCTACCCTTGCCCCGTCCTACTGCCCGCGGTTAACCCGCCGCGAGCCGCCTCTCCCCTCCCCGCCCGACTCAACCCTGCCCTCCCCCGTGCTTTGCAGACGCCGCCCGGGGGCCCAGGCGGCTGATGCGTGTGGGCCTCGCGCTGATCTTGGTGGGCCACGTGAACCTGCTGCTGGGGGCCGTGCTGCATGGCACCGTCCTGCGGCACGTGGCCAATCCCCGCGGCGCTGTCACGCCGGAGTACACCGTAGCCAATGTCATCTCTGTCGGCTCGGGGCTGCTGGTGAGCGCGGCAGGCGACCCGGGCGGGGGCCGGGCTCCCGGAGAGCCCAGCAGGCCAAAGGCTTTGTGTCTTCCACAGAGCGTTTCCGTGGGACTTGTGGCCCTCCTGGCGTCCAGGAACCTTCTTCGCCCTCCACTGGTGAGAGGGACTTCCCTGGAGCTTTTAACGAGTAGGCTTGAGTCAGGGAAATGGGGGCTGACTGAGCTTGGTCTTTCAATAGATTGGAGGAGCCTCAGAGAAACTGGGTGTCTAGTCACTGGGAGAGTTAGCCAGGCCCAGGCTGCTCACCCTGATCTCCTGTCCCTGCCAGCACTGGGTCCTGCTGGCACTAGCTCTGGTGAACCTGCTCTTGTCCGTTGCCTGCTCCCTGGGCCTCCTTCTTGCTGTGTCACTCACTGTGGCCAACGGTGGCCGCCGCCTTATTGCTGACTGCCACCCAGGACTGCTGGATCCTCTGGTACCACTGGATGAGGGGCCGGGACATACTGACTGCCCCTTTGACCCCACAAGAATCTATGTGAGCACATTCTCTTCCTTCTTGTGGTCTACAAAGCCTTGGTCCTGCCCTTTTAATTTCCCCTATTTGCTGCACTTGCCCTACTCCCTCCTACTCCCCATCCTTCTTGCTTTTCAGGATACAGCCTTGGCTCTCTGGATCCCTTCTTTGCTCATGTCTGCAGGGGAGGCTGCTCTATCTGGTTACTGCTGTGTGGCTGCACTCACTCTACGTGGAGTTGGGCCCTGCAGGAAGGACGGACTTCAGGGGCAGGTAAGGAAGGCAAACAGGAAGGGTTCATTCCACAGAGACTGGCTGTGTTGAAAAGATGCTGACCGGCCGGGTGCGGAGGCTCACACCTGTAATCCCAGCACTTTGGGAGGCTGAGGCAGGCGGATCACTTGAGGTCAGGAGTTTGAGACCAGCTTGGACAACATGGTGAAACCTCGTCTCTACTAAAAATACAAAAAATTAGGTGGGGTGGTGGGCGCCTGTAATCCCAGCTACTTGGAAGGCTGAGGCAGGAGAATCGCTTGAACCCGGAAGGCGGAGGTTGCAGTGAACCGAGATCACGCCACTGCACTCCAGCCTGGGCAACAGAGTGAGGCTCCGTCACAAAAAACAAAACAAAAAAAAGATGCTGACCTATCATTCAGGGCGAGGGTGTCTAACTCTATCTTCTTCTGCAGCTAGAGGAAATGACAGAGCTTGAATCTCCTAAATGTAAAAGGCAGGAAAATGAGCAGCTACTGGATCAAAATCAAGAAATCCGGGCATCACAGAGAAGTTGGGTTTAGGACAGGTAATGGGCCTTGAAGGTGGTGGCCCGGGTAAGAGCGGGGACAAGGAAGTGCTCTTAGAACTGGGTCTAGGTCTTGCCATGCTGCTTTCCCCTCTGACCTGGGTTGGTTCTCCCCTCTGTCCAGCAGGTGCTGTTCCGAGACTCAGTCCTAAAGGGTTTTTTTTCCCACTAAGCAAGGGGCCCTGACCTCGGGATGAGATAACAAATTGTAATAAAGTAACTTCTCTTTTCTTCTACTTGATTATGATTCCTTTTGGGGAAAAGGCACTGTGTGGTGTTGGGAATGACTTTGATCAAAGAATACAGTGGTCTCAATTATTTATAAAACTTTAATGAGGGAGAGGCCCTAACTCTTCCTCAGCTCTACCAACTACTGAAAGGAAAAGCTGGTGCTGGGGAGCCCTCCACACCACTGACTGATGAATTTCAGCACGTCCTGGCACACTGGGCTGTGGGAGGTCTGTGAGCAAATGGAAGAACATGAGAGGAACTTGTTAATGCTGGAAATACAAAATCAGCTCCATCGCAGGCTTCAGGGTCTGCATCTGCCTTCCTGTAATCCCACCCATCTTTCTAGTGTGTATGTGGGTTTTTTGTTTGTTTTGAGACAAAGTCTTGCTTTGTCGCCCAGGCTGGAGTGCAGTGGCACAATCTCAGCTCACTGCAACCTCTGCCTCTCGGGTTTAAGCGATTCTCCTGCCTCAGCCTCCTGAGTAGCTGGGATTACAGGTGCACGCCACCAGACCCGGCTAACTTTTGTATTTTTAGTAGAGACGAGGTTTTAACCATGTTGGCCAGGCTGGTCTCAAACTCCTGACCTCAGGTGATCCGCCCACCTTGGCCTCCCAAAGTGCTGGGATTAAAGGTATGAGCCACTGCACCCAGACTTGTTTTTTTTTCTTTTTTTAGTGCTGCCCTCTCTGCCTTCATTCTCCAAGTCCTCCTCTCTAACCTTGATGGCCATAAGGAATTTATTCCAGTTGTCCTTGTTAGCAGCCTTCCCTGGCCGCTTAAATTCAATTTTGTTCCTCAGAATGGGGTATCCTGTGGAGGAAGAAAAAATGATGAACTGGGGTTTGAGAGAGATTGAGGAGGGAAAAATGAGGAGCAGCCTGGGGGGTAGAAAGCACAGTCCTGTCTTTTGTACCCTTTACTGAATCCTAGTAAAATTAAGTTTATTGATCCTGCTGCTTTCTACCCACCACAGGATCTGGGGTGCTGTAGGCTTCTATACCTGTAATAAGGCAGGGCAGGGCTCGAACACCAGTGCTCGCTGCCACTAGGGAGGCCTCGTAGGCGCCACGCTCATCCCGAGGCAGAACCTGCTCCAGCCGCTGGTCCATGGAGACTGTAAGCACCCAGTCTCGAACCTCTTCTCTCTCAGCCTCCTGGAAAGGACAAGAAGGGAGTGGTAGCTTCACACAGGGCAGGGCAGGACAAGTTGGGGTGGATGGGTGAGGAGGGGGTTTGCTAAGCCCTCATCCTGTATACCAGCTTTTAGCCACGAATCCTCCTTGGATTGGGGGATGCAGTCACAGCCTTTTCTTTCTATTTTGCTTCTACTTTCACTGAAAAAACAGTGAGGGCTGAGGTCCTTCCAAAGATGGCAGCACAAAGATATTCTCCCTCCTCAAGGCACTCACACTGGTGAGGCCTTCCGGTTTTCCAACCCTGTGCCCTTACCGGTACATGCTGCTTAGCTGGGAGTGGCACCTCAAAGGGAATGTCTGTATCCTGAAAATCAGAGTGGTCAAGGCCATCTAGAGTCCCTTCCTCGATTGCCTGCAGTAGAGTGGGCAACCATGAACTAGGCACAGCTCGCGACTGGCAAAAACCTCCACCCTCGGGGCACAGCTTCCCTACTCACATCGGTCAGGTCCAAAAAGCGATTGAGGAAGATGAATGCCATGTTATCCCAGCCAACTGCCTGCAGCAAAGAAGAGTTGCAAATGGGAGTGAACAAGCTGGGTTTGAATGCTACTTCTCTGGGATCCAGATGCAAATGGGAGTGAGCAAGCTGGGCTTGAATGCTATTTCTCTGGGATCCAGGGAGAAAAATCCAGGAAGACATAGGAGGACTACATCCTCCGTAACATCAGCCCTACACTCAGCTTTCCTCTACCAGAGCAGAAGGGATATTCTATTTTCCAACCTTTAACTTCCTCCTATCTGCCCCACCCTTCCTTGTCCCAGCTCACCTTGGCAGCAATGCCTGCTTCATAGAAGGCTTTGTCTACAGGTAGTAGCTGGGTGTGACGCAAGAGTGAAACAGAAAGCCTGGCAGCCACGGTTTCCTGGGATTAAAGTCAAAGCATTATGAATATGGCACTAAAGTGACTGAGCTACCAGACCAATGATCCTGTAAGGCAGCCACAGAACTAAAAAACAACAATTATTATTAAACTGCTCTGGATTCTCAAGCTGTTCTGGGTCTTAGTTTTTTTTTTCTTTTTCTCTGAACAAGACACCTGGGCCTAGGTTCAATTCTTTCGCCCAGGCTGGAGTGCAGTGGTGCCATCTCAGCTCACTGCAACCTCTGCCTCCCGGATTCAAGTAATTCTCGTGCCTCAGCCTCCTGAGTAGCTAGGACTACAAGCGCACATTACCATGCCTGGCTAATTTTTTTTTTTTTTTTTTTTTTTTTTTTTTGAGACGGAGTCTCGCTCTGTCGCCCAGGCCAGACTGCGGACTGCAGTGGCGCAATCTCGGCTCACTGCAAGCTCCGCTTCCCGGGTTCACGCCATTCTCCTGCCTCAGCCTCCCGAGTAGCTGGGACTACAGGCGCCCGCCACCGTGCCTGGCTAATTTTTTGTATTTTTAGTAGAGACGGGGTTTCACCTTGTTAGCCAGGATGGTCTCGATCTCCTGACCTCATGATCCACCCGCCTCGGCCTCCCAAAGTGCTGGGATTACAGGCGTGAGCCACCGCGCCCGGCCAACCTGGCTAATTTTTATGTTTTTAGTAGAGATGGGGTTTCACCACGTTGGCCAGGCTGGTCTCGAACTCCTGGCCTCAAGTGATCCACCCGCCTCGGCCTCCCAAAGTGCTGGGATTACAGGGGTGAGCCACCACACCCACCCACCTAGATTGTTTCTAAGGTTCTTTCCACTTCTAGAATTCTATCATCCAAGTACATGAAATAAATATACAGTGAACAGTCAAAAATAAGCCCAGAATATGTGTACATTATAAGAGGTGAATAAAGAAATCATGGGATTTGGATGTTTAAACATAATGAGGCTGAGGCTGTGTGGGCACAGAGCCCTAAAAAGGTCGGAAGAAGAAAACCTCAGCAAGGGCTAAAGATTTGTTTAGACAGAAGAGAAGCTGAAAGACAGGTGGGGAGATTCAAGAGCCCAAGCTGAAGAATCCAGAACGTGAATCAATTCAGCTTTATACATTTGCAGATGAGCCCTTCTGACTGAGTGTTCCTTCGACCCCCTACATCTCACCAGCTGTTTGACACTCTGGGCTGCAGAGCGCGTGGCATAGTAATGAGCGATCAGCAGCATCGTCTTGAACTCCTCATGGGCTGGAGAGTTTGCCTCACTGGACTTCACCAGGTTTTCACACTAGAGGAGGGAGACAGCACAGCCTGGCTCAGGGGTCAGAGGAGTGCCAGGGCCATAGAGTGGTCTCTGATAGCCACCTGGCAGAGGAAGGTAAAATACATCTGAGAATAAAGGTTTATGTGCATCAAAGAAGAGATGAGGACAAGGACAGACGGAGCAGCCCTTTCGCTTCCTCACCAGGTTGAAGAGGACATCTCGAAGATCAGCCCAGCTATGATAGGCCTCGGCACAGTTGGTTCCAGGAGAGCTCACCATGTCAGTGAAGATCCTTTTGTAGATATTGAAGTTCTAGAGGTAGAGGGAAGAAGGGGATCTGAGAAGGGCATAGCTAGAAGAGAAAGTCACTGGAAGTGGGGCCAAAGGGAGGAGAAACAGGCTTTGTGTGTAGAAATGGGTATGTGTGTGTGTGCAAGGGCTGGGGGACAGTGGCAGATTTTTATTTTTATTTATTTTTATTTTTTTAATTTTATTTATTTATTTTTGAGACAGAGTCTTGCTCTGTTGCCCAAGGCTGGAGTGCAGTAGCATGATCTCGGCTCACTGCAAGCTCTGCCTCCCAGGTTCATGCCATTCTCCTGCCTCAGCCTCCCGAGTAGCTGGGACTATAGGTGCCTGCCACCACGCCCAGCTAACTTTTTATATTTTTAGTAGAGACGGGGTTTCACCGTGTTAGCCACAATGGTCTCGATCTCCTGACCTCGTAATCCGCCTGCCTCGGCCTCCCAAAGTGTTGGGATTACAGGCGTGAGCCACTGCGCCCGGCCAACAGTGGCAGATTATTAAGTGCTGATTATTTTTAATGAAGTAAATTATTTTTAAGTGCTGATTATTTTTGATAAAGAGAAAAGAGGAAGAAATAACTTTCTTAGCTGGTGCTGTGTGAGTGTGGGCAACTGTACAAATGTAAATGCAGAGTCACAACATTGTGACTCAGATCAGGGAGCAGTGTTCATTCTCTGGAGGAAGTCAATAAAGGCCCTAGAGGTGTATGCAGGATTCATCTCTGAAAGACAGGTGCCTGTGTATTTGCTAACAGCATGGGGAGCTCCACGGGTGTTTCTTCAAACAGAAGTTGGAAGTTTCTGCAAACCTCCCCATGCTCTTAGCAAATACACAGCCTCCAGAGAGGCTGTACATTTCTGGAGATGCGTGGGGGGCTCTGGGCATGACGTTCTCTAAGGATAGAATCCTCTGAGAAGATAGTTCCTGAGAAGATAGGTGGTTCTAGAGGAGAAAGAGCTTTCTTGTGGAAACATTCAACCCAAGGAGAAGGCTGGTACCTGTGGGTTAGCAGGGGCTCCGTGCTGTACATACAGGGCCAATGCCTGGGCAGAGCTACCCTCCCGGATCAAGTGAGTTGCATACAAAGCCACATACTTGTGCAGAATCTTGTAGTTCTGTACAGGGGTGGAGGAAAAGCATGAGTGAGGCTGGGATCGGCAAGACCAAGCAGTGAGGTGACTTGAGGCCATGTATTTGTTGAGGGGAAAAAGGGTGTACGCAAACCTCTGACCCCAGTTTCAGACTGAGCTTCTCTGATGCCCATTAGAAATCTTTGGGCTTTGGGTTTTTGTGGAGGTAGAAGAGATGCATCTTTGAGGCAGGTGGGGAATCAAGGGAAAATGTAAAGAAAAACTGGGAATGGGAAGAGAGCAGTACCTGCTTGGTAGCTGTTTCAATGCACTTGTCCCACTGGCCCTGCTCCACATACAGGTCCAAAGCAGCTATCACATCCACACCCACCAGCTGGGTCAATGGAAGACAGAGTTACAAGAGAAAAGAGATGACATGAGGGAAAGAAGAGGGAGAGAGTCTTGTGAGTCTCTCCCTGCATTCTGCCTCCTGCTAACTCTCCAAGTCTCACCGAGTCCACTTTGCCCTGATTCTTGAGGAACTCTTTATAATGCTGGTCCACATAGTCTTCATACCTGTGAAGATGTTCAGAGAGCTCCATCTTCATGTTCCAGAATACCAACCCTCCCGGTAAGACTTTCTCCCAGTCTTTACAAAAGGAAGTAAAAGAGAATTTCGCAGTAAGAAGGGGTTACAAGCTTACCTGGGATCTAACTCCTTAGCTACACGCTTCGCCTTGTTCCACTCCTCACCCTCGATGAAAGCATCGATTGCTTCCTTGACAAGGTCCAGATTCAGATAGAGCTCTGCAGCCTGCACAGTGGGAAATCAGCGTGGAGACTTTCTCCTCGCTCCCAGTCTTCCCACTGTGAGCTCTCCCATCTGTTTCCCCAGGACTGCAAGCCATGCCCACCAGGAGGCCCACCTCACACACCTTCCTGGGTGTAGATGTCACCCTTGCACCCATCTCTGTGAAATCTATTTCTGTTCCATCTCAGCATCCTACTTACTGCACTGTGCTTTCCAATTCCAATCAGCTGGGGTCCTACAGCCAGAACGACTTCCATATTACGTTGGGGAGGCAGAAACTTGATGGAGAGTTCAGCTGCCTGAGTGGTTGAACAGAAGATGGAAATGGGTAGGAGAGACAAATACCGCTGAGTCCTCAGCCTCATCCATTTCATACATTTTTCTCCTCCAGATGCCAACTTTTTCTCTTACTCTCCCCTTCAACCTTGCACCCTCCTGGGCAAAACCTGGCTCATGGTCCATTAGATCCTTTGATTAGCCATCAGTGGACCTATCTTTCCTCTCAGTTCATTAACTCTTTCAGATACTTCCTGCGCTGCCTGAGGTCACTGCATTTGAAACTTCCGCCTTTGACAAAATCATTTTCAAGGTCTTTGTCATAAGTAAAATCTTCGTAGCAGAGTACAGAGAAAGGACTCCTAAAATAAGGAGTCCAGGGCATTCTGTAACTATTTGTGTTGGGCTTTTATGAACTTGTTTCTTCATTCACACACACTGGATTTTGAAGATTTAGTATAAAAAAAGAATGGAAAATATCTAAATAATGTGTGTGAGTACATGTTGAAATGGTAGTATTTTATTTAATTTTTTTAAGACAGAGTCTTGCTATGTCGCCCAGGCTGGAGTGCAGTGGCACAATATCAGCTCACTGCAACCTCTCCCTCCCAGGTTCAAGCAATTCTCTTGTCTTGGCCTCCTGAGTAGCTGGGATTACAGGCACCCACCACCATGCCCAGCTAATTTTTGTATTTTTAGTAGAGATGGGGTTTCACCATGTTGGCCAGGCTGGTCTCAAACTCCTGATCCTCAAGTGATCTGCCCACCGTGGCCTCCCAAAGTTCTGGGATTACAGGCATGTACCACTGCGCCCAGATGAAATGGTGTATTTTAGATATACTGTGTTAAATAAAATATATTACAATTATTTTTACCTGTTTTTTTTTTTTTTTACTCTTTTTAAATGTGGCTACTAGAAAATTTAAATGACATGTATGGCTTACATTTGTGGCCTGCATTATATTTCTAGTGCCAGTGCTGGTATAGATGGTCTTGATGATAACCTTTCAACACTTAAAACTCAGAAATTCTACAAACCCAAGTGTTCAATGAGATCACTCTGTTTCCATTATGATGCTGACATCCTTACCAGATTTCAATTTCCACACAATCCAATTTCACTGTAGTTTATGCTAATCCCCTCTGGTCTTTCCCTCACCTGTTCTTGCCTCCCTTTCTTACTGCCAAGCCCTTCAAAGCTTAATCTGCCCTGTCTGCATCAGGAAGCCATTTTCTGACTAATCTGAAAAAGGTACAGTCATGCCATGCTCCCAAGTTACATATATCAGATGCTTATTCAATACTGCTGATTAAAATCTGCTAGAACCTCAAAACCAATCATCAGCCCCTCTCTTTCTACTTCTCTCCCTCTAACTTCTAGGGGTTATTGAGTTTTAAGACCTCAAAAGGCCAGGCACGGTGGCTCACGCCTGTAATCCCAGCACTTTGGGAGGCCAAGGCTTGTGGATCATGAGGTCAGGAGATGGAGACCATCCTGGCTAACACGGTGAAACCCCGTCTCTACTAAAAAAATACAAAAAAATTAGCCCGGCATGATGGTGGGCACCTGTAGTCCCAGCTACTCAGGAGGCTGTGGCAGGAGAATGGCCTAAACCCAGGAGGCGGAGCTTGCAGTGAGCCGAGATTGCACCACTGCACTCCAGCCTGGGCGACAGAGCAAGACTCCGTCTCAAAAAACAAACAAACAAAATAAACAAACAAACAAAAAAACCTCAAAACCTAAGGGAAATTTTGCAGGGGCATCACCATACGAATATGTCATTTAGAGGGCCAATCTCACCCCCCTCATGACCCCCACTCACATTTCACTGTATCTAAGGTGCGTCATTTAAACTATACCTGCATCCCAATTTTAAATATATTAAAATATAATTATATATATGTATGTGTGTGTGTATATATATATATATATATGTTATTGTTAACTTTATGTATCAATTTGGGCTACAGGGTATCCGGGTATTTGGTCAAACATTATTCTGGGTGTTTCTATAAGTGTTTTTGGATGAGGTTAACATTTAAATTGGTAGACTGAGTAAAGCAAATTGCCCTCTCTACTGTGGATAGACCTCATCCAATCATTTCAAGGCATGAACAGAACATAAAGGCTGGCTCCTTCCCAAGTTAGAGAGAATTCTTCCTGTTTGACTGCCTTTAAACTGGGACACTGGCTTTTTCCTGCCTTCAGATTTGAACTGAAACATCAGCTCTTCTTGGGTCTCAAGCTTGCTGGCCTTCAAACAAGAACTACACCATCAGTTCTCCTGGGTTTTCAGTTTGCCAGCTCACCTGCAGATCTTGGGCCTTGTCTATCTCCATAACTGCATGAGCCAATTCCTTTTAATAAATCTCTTTATATACATGTACACACATATACCTACAGTCATGCATTGTCTAATGATCAGTATGTTCTGAGAAATGTGTCCTTAGGGGATTTCATCATTATGTAAGCATCATAGCACAAACCTAGATGGTATAGTCTACTATACACCTAGGTAGAGGTTGCGTAGAGCTTATTGCTCCTAGGCCACAAACCTGTACAGCACATTTCTGTACTGACTACCTATAGGCAACCATAACACAATGGTAAGCATTTGTGTATTGAAACCTATTTAAGGCCAGGCGTGGGATCACCTCAAGGGATCCACCCACCTCAGCTTCCCAAAGTGCTAGAATTATAGGCGTGAGCCACCATGCCCACCCATGTGGTCTACTGTTGACCAAAACGTTGTTATATGGCATATGACTGTATATATCCTGTTGGTTTCTCCAATACAGTATGTCTTATTATTTGTGACACATACTGGCCTGGCTTAATTTGCTGGAAGCTTCTTTTCAGGAAATGTTGGGTGGGGGAGGTGGAGCCCATGCTTTTTTCATGTTCCCTGTCTGGCCAGTTCCTGTGCCTGGAGTTGCCCTTCCAGCTCCTGTCCAAGTCTTCCCTCCTTCTTCACAGAGCCTTCCTGACCCCTCTAGCCCACAGAGATCTCACTGTTCTCTGAACTCTACTTTAAATCATGCACTTTAGTCTTTACTCAGATATGATAGTAATTGAGCCATTTATTGGTCTAATTCCCCTAACTTTTGGCTGTCAGGGCTCTGTCTTATATCCACTTTTATAGCCTTCAGAGGTTCTGGCTCTATCATCCAGCAGGCACTCCATAGATTCCTGCTACCTGATTGAAAAGAAAAAGACACAAGAGGAAAGAGCTGAAGATGTGAGAAGCAGAGCCAAGTGTGAATAGAGGCCTAGGGAGAAGGAGGGCCAGAAAGGGCCTGCTGTCCTCACCTTCATCCAGCACTTCTCCGCCAGGCCGCTGTTTCCAGAGTCTCGCACTTTGAGGTAGCAGTCCACGGCACGGCTGTACTCTCCAGCCTGCTCCCAGTGTCGAGCTTGTTCCACAAATCCCTCCACACCCCTGTGGAGATGAGAGCGCTGGGACTTGGCATGGTAGGGGGGCAGCATGCTCTATCCTGTGTATGCCTCATGACCCTCCCAGCCCTGCCAATGCTGCCTGGACCTCTGGCCTCATACCTGGCCCCCTTCTTAGTAGCTTCCCGCTCATATTCTTCCTGCAGAGCCTCCAGCTGGCTGGGCACATAGTCCTTGCAGATGCGCAGAGCGTCACTCCATAATCCAGCCTCCTGCTCAGATTTCCAGGTATCAAGAGGGCAGAGGCAGGCCTGACAGCTTCCCACTGCCACACAGGTACTCTGGCCCACAGACTCCTGGGTCCTTGGACCTCTCTTCTCCTCCTCTTTCCTGTCTTCCCCACTCCCCAATACTAACCTCCCTGATCTTTCTTCATACCAGGGGTCAGTGTGGCTCTCTGTGGGCTCTTACAAACTCTCCCCCTCCCCTCATGGCCCTGCATCCAGTGCCCCACCTTATAATAATTGAGGGCCAGGCCTGGTCTCTGGGCCCGGAGCAGCAGCCCTTCTGCTTTCTGAAAGTCCTTCTCCTCCAAGGCCCCCCGGGCCTGTCCCACAAGCACCTCGGCGACACTGTCAGGGTCGTGAGCCTCAGCCACACGCTGAGCTGCCTCCCAATCCTGGTTATGGACAAACCTGCCTCCAGGTGGGGACAGAGGAGAGACTGAGTATAGGACTGAGGCCCCAATAGTGGGAGACAAACAGCCATGTCACTGAGGGGTGTAACACTGATTTGTTCTAGGTTTGAATGAAGGTCAAGATAATCATGAAAGATCCTGGGACGGTGACTGGGGAAACAGTATTAAGGAATGTATGGGGTAACTCACATGAGGACTGCCTCCTTGGGTTTACCAGCTCTGATGAATTCAGCTTCAGCCTCTTCGAATTTACCCTACAGGGAGAGAAAGGCAGCCGTGCATGATGAGAAGGAGACTGGCATCACAGGCAGGCATGAGACTGGGGGTCTGCACACCCAGCAGCA
Source organism: Homo sapiens (assembly GCF_000001405.40). Lineage (NCBI taxonomy): Eukaryota > Metazoa > Chordata > Mammalia > Primates > Hominidae > Homo > Homo sapiens. Next base: position 27,454,509 of record NC_000002.12, read on the forward strand.
GTGCACTAGGGGATGGAATAAGAGGGCTCTGCGGTCGGGGTCCAAATCACACCCATACCTCATCCTCCAGGAACATAGCATATTTGAGATGAACCTCGGGGGTTTTGTGCTTGAGGGCCAGCCGAGAGAGTTCAAACGCAAATTCAAAGGAGCTGAAACAGAAAGTGCAGATAAAGTTTTCTTGCTTCATGCTTCCCTTCATAAAAGGAACAAGACAAAACAGAGAAAGGACAGAGTTGAGGGGAGAAAAAGTGACAGATTTAAGGATAACAAATATGAAGTGACAGAAAAGCGTGGAGAGATAAAAAGGAAGACGGGCAGGCAGCCCTGTGAAGACCATGTCACTGTCAGCGTGGATCAAGAGACGTCTGGAAAAGCCTATGCCTTCCCTGAGGCCAGCTGCTCCTGAGGAATTAGTTTGGGCCTGCGAAGGGGAAGGGAGGAGTGAGCCTCGCAGCCCTACACTGACAGGGCTAGGAGGGCTCCTGGTGCTCTCCATCTCTTCCTGAGCCCCAGCTACATTAGCAGAAACAGAGTCTCTCCAAAAAATGAGCAAGACCACCCTCAGCATCGGACTCCATGATTGGCACTGATAACAGTAGCTTGAGAACACTTTGCTCTTTTGGCTATCTTTCTGCACCGCCGCAATAGTGCGCATGAATGTCCTGGCTGATGTGCTCAAGAGCATCAACAATGCCAGAAAGAGAGGCAAACGGCAGGTCCTTATTAGGCTGTGCTCCAAAGTCATCGTCTGGTTTCTAATTGTGATGCTGAAGTATGGTAAATTGGCGATTTTGAAATAATTGATGATCACAGCTAGGAAAATTGCTGTGAACCTCACAGGCAGGCTAAACAAGTGTAGAGTGATCAGCCCCAGATTTGATGTGCAAATCAGAGATCTAGAAAAATGGCAGAATATGCCGGGCGCGGTGGCTCACGCCTGTAATCCCAGCACTTTGGGAGGCCAAGGCAGGTGGATCACAAGGTCAGAAGATTGAGACCAGCCTGGCTAACAGGGTGAAACCCTGTCTCTACTAAAAAAGTACAAAAAAATTAGCCGGGCGTGGTGGCGGGCACCTGTAGTCCCAGCTACTCAGGAGGCTGAGGCAGGAGAATGGCTTGAACCTGGGAGGCGGAGCTTGCAGTGAGCCAAGGTTGCACCACTGCACTCCAGCCTGGGCAACAGAGCGAGACTCTGTCTCAGAAAAAAAACAAAAAAGAAAAATGGCAGAATAATCTGCTCCCATCCTGCCAGTTTGGTTTTATTGTACTGACAACCTCAGTTGGCATCATGGACCATGAAGAAGCAAGACAGCAACATATAGGAGGGAAAATCCTGGGATTCTTTTTCTAGAGATGTAATACATATTTACAAATAAAATGCTTCACGGACTCTGGTGCTTCCAAAAAAAAAGAAAAGTTCGGCCAGGCGCAGTGGCTCACGCCTGTAATCTCAGCACTTTGGGAGGCCAAGGTGGGCAGATCACGAGGTCAAGAGATCAAGACCATCCTGGCCAACATGGTGAAACCCCATCCCTACTAAAAATACAAAAATTAGATGGGCGTGGTGGTGCATGCCTGTAGTCCCAGCTACTCGGGAGGCTGAGGCAGGAGAATCATTTGAACCAGGAGGTGGAGGTTGCAGTGAGCTGATATCGTGCCACTGCACTCCAGCCTGGCGACGGAGTGAGACTCTGTCTCAAAAAAAAAAACAGTTCACTCTGCATTTGACAGAATCACACTTCCATTACCCAGGAGTAAGTTATTGGTTTAGTGCAGTCTGCAGTCCTAGCTTTACAATCTGTTTCCTCTCCACCCTTCTTAGAACAGCCAAAGGTTAAACACTGTTCTGAGCCCCTAGGGAATAGAAGCAGTTAATTTATTCATGCCACTCTATCATGTCCTTCCAAGGATCTTTCTTTCAGTTATACATCAATTTTCTTTCTCTAGATAGTGGCTCTGGCTGGGATGGGGCCCGTGGAGAGAAAGCTTGGGGCCTCACCAATTGTCTGCAGCGTGGTCAACAGCAGCTTCCAGGAGTCCCAGCTTATTAAGCAGTCTAACTGCAGCCTCTCCTCCCAGGCTCTTTGCCCACAGATAGGCCACGTGTTTGTGGGCATTAGCCCCTCCTTGAGTTCTGGCCACCTGTAAAGCAAAGTCACTCAATAATCCTGCAATACAGAGCTTCTCCCTTCTCATCTCTGACCTCGGCTTTGACAAGGATCCAGTAACTGTTCTAAATTGAACAGGAAGAGGCTGGGTGTGGTGGCTCATACCTATAATCCCAGCATTTTGGGAGGCCGAGGCAAGAGGATAACTTGAGGTCAGGAGTTCGAGACCAGCCTGGCCAACATAGTGAAACCCCATCTCTACTAAAAATACAAAAATTAGCTGGGCACGGTGGTGAGTGCCTGTAATCCCAGCTACTCGGGAGGCTGAGGCAGAAAAATTGCTTGAACCCGGGAGGTGGAGGTTGCAGTGAGCCAAGACTGTGCCACTGCACTTCAGCCTGGGTGACAGAGCGAAACTCCATCTCAAAAAATAAAATAAAATAAAAAGTTAACAGGAAGAGGGCTAAATTTCAGGGTTTCTTAACTTAGGTTAAAGTACTTAGGGTCCAAGGATAGGCTTCACCTGGTCCACAGACCCTTAAAATTATAAGTGAAATTTTCTGTATACAGATGTGGACATGGTTCTGGCAAGAGAGACTCTGATCTTCACTACATTTTCAAAGATGCTCTGACCAATTGTGAATTAGTCACTTAAAGTGGGAAAGAAGGGCTGGGCAAGGTGGCTCATAGCTGTAATCCCAACACTTTGGGAGGCCAAGGCAGGTGGATCGCTTGAGCCCAGGAGTTCAAGACCAGCTTGGGCAACATGGTGAAAACTTGTCTCTACAAAAAAATTAAAAAATTAGCCAGCTGTGGTGGTGCACACCTATAGTCCCAGCTACTCAGGAGGTTGAGGTGGGAGGATCGAGTGCTTAAGCCCAGGAGGTCAAGGCTGCAGTGAGCCATAATTGCACCACTGCACTCCAGCCTGGGTGACAGAGTGAGACCCTTTCTGAAAAAAAGGAAAAACGTGGGAAAGAAGGATGGATGTATCCCTCAGTGTGGCCTGAACTCCTTACCCTGTAGGCCTCTTCCCAAAGCCCACTGGCCCGGTACATGTTCACTGTTGCCTTCCATTCCTGGGCCTCGAGGTAGTGGTACTCAGCCTCCTGTAGTCGGCCTTCAGCCTCCAGCTCCTGCAGGAAGGTGAGTCAGGATGGAGAGATGGGGAGATGGAGCCTGGTTGGGGAAGAGATAGGGAGAGCCAGGAGAAGGGCTCACCTTGCCCAGATGTAGGTGTGTATCACTGAGGAGATCTGGATGGTGCTTCCCTACCAGGCGGATCATGTCATCATACAACTTGTGCTTTTTGTACATGGTGATGGCAAGATCAGGCTCTTGTACTGTCACATATAGCCTGGGGAAGGAGATACATCTGGGGCCTCCTAGACCCGACCCCTGCTATCACTGCCTTCTGGGCAGAGGGTACACATCCTCAGACCCCATCCCTCGTCCCAGCCTTGAAATCTCATCTCCCTCTACACCTCCTCTGGGGCCACGGCTCACCTTTCAGCCTCACGGTACTTGCCCTGCTTCTCCATTTCCTGGGCCTGAGTGATGTATAGCACTGACACATCTTCTGGTCTCATGCATTTCATCGCCAGCTGTGGAGGCACAGAGGCAAGGCAGCCTCAGATCCAATTCCCCAGGGAAGCAGGGCTTCAAGGAAACCTGCTTGTTCAGAAACTCTGAACTCTCCCAACAATCACAGGAGTTTGGGTATTGCCACTCTACTAGTGAGGTTGGGGAATTCCAAGTCCATAAGAAGCAGAGGAAGAACTATATTCTGCTAAGGTGGGAAGGTCTGCGATGCCTTGGCTGGGGCATACACTCCCATTACCACGGTAACCACTGGACTCTGAAGTGTAGGCGCAAGAACAAAGTCATCAATGTGACCAGAGGCATTAGGAGTGGTAGTTCAGATTCCCCAGCTCCCAAGCCCATCTGCTCCTTCAGAATGATAGATAGGTCTGGAAACAAGGGCCTCTCTTCATCCCTTCCTTTCCCTATGGCTAGGGATCAAAGTGGCTCAGACTGTTTTTTGGTACTCTTTGTCAGCTTTCAGGGAGCCAAGCGAAGAGGAGAAACAGGTATCAAGGAATGAGGCCACAATGCCACTAAGGCAGAGTTCTCTTATCATGAACTCCACCCATCCCTACCTTGTGGGCTTGTTCCCAACGACCAGCCTGGGTGTACATGTCTATGGCATCTTTTGTCCGATCTCCCTTAGTATAGAGCTCCTCAGCAATCTGTAGTTGATGGGAGGTAGATACAAAAGGTCAGAGCAACAGACTTAAAGCAGCTTGAATGAGGAAAGAACAAACCTTGGCTGGGATGGTGGAGAGCCTGCGATACAACCTTGTAATAATAGAGAAGAAAAGATGAGTATGGGTGTCTCATACATTCTACCATTTAAAAAGAAAGACCAGCCCCAAACAGTGGAATCCAAAAGGGCCTCACATTTCTGCAATGCAAAGCAATTTTATATCATAACTATGTTAGCATTATTCATGAAGAATCACGCTGACTGGAACACAGCTAGAGACTCACTTTATATATCTGGGGTGAAGGGCGATATCTGTGTCACACTGGAATGAAAATGGGAAAGTAAACTGTTCTCTTCCCCTTCAAGGTGATGATGCTGTTTGGAGCCCAGAAAGAAGGATCTGGTGAACTTGCCTCCACTTCCTGCTTTGGGTTCTCTCATTGTTATCCTCTACTGCATTGCCTCGTGCTGCGGAAAGGGACTCTTCCTCACCTCATACTCCTGCAGGGATGCATAGTGTTGGGCCACGAGAGGATAGTATTTGGATGCAGTGTTCCGGTCCTGTAGATCTAATATATAAATTGCCTTCTTCCACTGGCGGGCACCCAGGGCGGCCTCAATTGCCTTAATGGAGCACCTGGCAAAGTTGGGAAAGATATAAATATGTAGGATGAAAGATGAAGATGAATGGAGGTAAAAGGACCCTTTAAGCACACTTCAACCTACATTTTGAGATCTCTTCTTTAAGGCCTTGGTGTCCTTACTTGCTCCACTGCCCCTCACTTCACACCTAAATCTCCTTTACATTCCCATACTCCCATACCTGGCTTCGATGTAGTGATTAATGGCTGCATCAAGCTGCTTCTGCTGCACCAGGTGGTCCCCCCATGCCTCCTCTAGTTTCACCACCTCCACTGGGAAGGCCAATCGAGCCAGCTCTACCGCTGCCAGGGAGAGAAAAGATGCTCAGCCCAGATTTCCAGGGATGGGCCTCAGGAAAAAGGTAGGACAGGGAGATGAAGCATGGAGAATAGGTAAGAAGGGGAGGAATGGAGGACTGGAGCCAGGCATCCTGAACACACGCACCAAGAGGTGTGGGGAAAAGCAAGAGAGATCAGATTGTTACTGTGTCTGTGTAGAAAGAAGTAGACATAGGAGACTCCATTTTGTTATGTACTAAGAAAAATTCTTCTGCCTTGAGATTCTGTTAATCTATAACCTTACCCCCAACCCCGTGCTCTCTGAAACATGTGCTGTGTCCACTCAGAGTTGAATGGATTAAGGGCGGTGCAAGATGTGCTTTGTTAAACAGATGCTTGAAGGCAGCATGCTCCTTAAGAGTCATCACCACTCCCTAATCTCAAGTACCCAGGGACACAAAAACTGCGGAAGGCCGCAGGTACCTCTGCCTAGGAAAGCCAGGTATTGTCCAAGGTTTCTCCCCATGTGATAGTCTGAAATATGGCCTCGTGGGAAGGGAAAGACCTGACCGTCCCCCAGCCCGACACCCGTAAAGGGTCTGTGCTGAGGAGGATTAGTAAAAGAGGAAGGAATGCCTCTTGCAGTTGAGACAAGAGGAAGGCATCTGTCTCCTGCCCGTCCCTGGGCAATGGAATGTCTCGGTATAAAACCCGATTGTATGCTCCATCTACTGAGATAGGGAAAAACCGCCTTAGGGCTGGAGGTGGGACCTGCGGGCAGCAATACTGCTTTGTAAAGCATTGAGATGTTTATGTGTATGCATATCTAAAAGCACAGCACTTAATCCTTTACATTGTCTATGATGCAAAGACCTTTGTTCACGTGTTTGTCTGCTGACCCTCTCCCCACAATTGTCTTGTGACCCTGACACATCCCCCTCTTTGAGAAACACCCACAGATGATCAATAAATACTAAGGGAACTCAGAGGCTGGCGGGATCCTCCATATGCTGAACGCTGGTTCCCCGGGTCCCCTTATTTCTTTCTCTATACTTTGTCTCTGTGTCTTTTTCTTTTCCAAATCTCTCGTCCCACCTTACGAGAAACACCCACAGGTGTGTAGGGGCAACCCACCCCTACAAGAGGTGCCAGGGAACCAGATGGGCAAGAGTCCACAACAGTAAAGGATGGCTTATAGGTGGCTAGTACCTTTCATGAATGCGTTGCCTTTACGGTAGCACTCCAGGGCCTTCTGTGGATTGTGAATCTTCTCAAAGAGATCACCTGCCTGTTAACACATACCACATTACTATGATACCCCTACAACACAAAGAACTAAGTATTAGCTCCGAAAACAAGGGAACACCAGCAGTCAGGAAGCGCTCTGCACCCCAAGACTCCTCTGGGTAAGGGAAGGGTCCTGAGCTCTGGAGATAAGGGCTAGGAAAAGGAAGCCAGCATACCCTTTCGTAGAGTTCCCCCTTGATAAGGGCTGCAGTGATGTGTTCTACCAGCTCTGTGTTGGCTAGCAGTTCCTCTCGGGTCAGCACCAGCCGAGCAGCTTTGGCAGGGAGCCCAGCTTTGAGGTAGAGGCTGATGGCTGCTAGCCCATCCCCTTGGCTCTCCTGTAGTTCACCTGCTCGCTCCTCTTGCTGTGTGTCCATCAGCCACTGGTAGTAACTACGACGTAGCTTCTCCAGGGCTGGGTGCCCCTGGACATGCACAGAGGACAACTAGGAGTCACATCCCCCTTCCTACCCTTCTGCCTCCCATGCTTCTCCAATCCCTCTATAACAAGGGGAATCCTCCTGGGTCAGCAGTATCCTAACTCCTCACCACATCAAGTCCAAGCCCCAACCCTGTTCTGGTTTCTATGGCCTCCTTGACAAAAGGAGGTTTTTGAAATTGGCAGAACCAAATTCTGAACAACTGTGGAGAAGATAAAACAGGTACCTTGGCTTCAGCCACAGCGATACACTCATCCCAACGGTGTAGCTCCTGGTACATGCCCATGGCCTCCTCCACAGCATTCTAGGGGAAACAGGCAGAGCAGAGAGGGACACCAGAAAGATATGAGGATCAGAAAGCAGCAAGCTCTCCTCAGCCTGGCTAAGATGCCAGCCCATGAGGACCAAAAGCCTTTTAACTACTATACCAACAGAAATACTGGGAAACTAAAAGAAGCTTAAGCTTCAGGGCTCCTTATTTGCACACACCCTTTCCAAGGCAACTGTTCTTTTTCTTGAGATGGAGTCTCACTCTGTTGCCGAGGCTGAAGTGCAGTTGTGTGATCTCGGGCTCACTGCAACCTCTGCTTCCTTGGCTCAAGCGATTCTCCCACCTCAGCCTCCCGAGTAGCTGGGATTACAGGCGTGTGCCACCACTCCTGGCTAATTTTTTGTATTTTTAGTAGAGATGGGGTTTCACCATGTGGCCAGGCTGGTCTTGAACTCCTGACCTCATGTGATCCACCTGCCTCAGCCTCCCAGCGTGCTGGGATTACTGGTGTGAGCCACCACGCCTGGCCTAAGGCAACTGTTCTTAAAGAGAGCTCCTCAAATTGTATAAGCTTCCGGCCCACAAAACCTGGATCTACCCCTATGCACAAGAATTGCAAAGACAGGCTCTGGACTGGAGGGGAGGTAGTAGACTGCTTATGAAAGAAAGTAGTAATCAAAGGCCAAAGAAGGAAGTTTGTCTAGAAAAGTAAGGACTGACACAAGAGAAGGAAATTAAGAAAAGGGTGAAATTAACTATATAAACCCCTTTGAAAGTTTTCCCCAAACCTTTGGAAGCCTAGTTCACCAGCACGCTTTCCTCCCTTGAGTTTGTACCCCCTTTTCTCTCTTTTTCCCTCATATCCCCTCTTCCATCCTGTCCCTCTTTTCCTATTACCTGTTCCAAAAAGATCATTTCAGCCAGTTTGTAGTTCTTTTCCAGCATGGCTAGACGTGCTCGGACCTGATAAAAGTCTGTTCCTTCTCCGCCCTGTGGGGGAAAAAGGAGGTTCTGATTTTTCTGTAGGTGCTGCCATTCTGTCTGTGAGGGCTGAAATTGGAAGGCCAGAAGGATGTAGAAAACAAAAGACTTGGGAAGGTAAAACACTTCATGGAGCTTAAAGGTTTGAGGTTTAGCAAAAGCAATTCTGAAATGGTCTGACTTGAGGGTAAAGGTGGGGTGGGCAGGGTAAAGGAAACTGGGGATGGCTGGAAAGCTAGGAATCATGGGGCTGAATACTAAGAGAAATCAGCTTGGGAGACAGACAGAATGAATCAGGAGCATAATACTTGCATATTCCCGGGATACTTGATCTGCAATCTCATTGGTCTCATGCAGGAATCGAGCTTTTGCTACTTGGCCCAAAGCAGAAAAGCACCTATGGCATGGAAGCAATAACATTAATAGTAATATTATTATAGAATCATCATTAATTCATTGGTTCAGCAAATACAAATTGATGTACATCTATGATGTGCCAGCCAATGTCTTGTCACTGGAGACATATAGAGACCAAGGAAGATGAGGGCCTTGCTCTCAGAGAACTTCCATTCTGGTGGAGACAAATAATTAGTAAAATTGGAGATAATAAAAAATAAAATAAAGTAATGTAATATTACAGATCAAGCTTGTTCAACCCATGGCCCAAGATGGCTTTGAATGTGGCCCAACACAAATTCATAAACTTTCTTAAAACATTATGAGATTTTTTTGTGATTCTTTTCTCTTTTTTTTTTTTTTTTTTTAAGCTCATCAGCTATCATTAGTGTTAGTATATTTTATGTGTGGCCCAAGATAATTCTTCTTCCGATGTGGCTCAGGGAAGCCAAAGATTGGATACCCCTGTTATAGATAGTGACTGAAGGGGCCACTTAAGTTGGTAGTTGGAGGTCTCTCTGATGAACTGACATTTGAGCTGAGACCTGAATACAAGAAAAAGCCAGTCATGGCAGGATGGGGAAAAGTTATTCCTGGAGAGCGAACAGCTAGTGTTAAGGCTCTATAGCAGGTATGAGCTTGGCACACTCACAGAGCCAAAAGGATGCCAGTGTGGTTGGAGACTAATGGGCAAGCAGGAAGCTGGCATGAGAAGGAAGCAGAGGCCAAAAAACTTCAGGGCTAAGGCCACACAAGGAGTTTGGGTTTTATACTAAGTAAAACAGTAAGCTAATGGAAGGTTCCAGTCATGAAAATGACACAATCTATGTTTAAAAAAATGACCTCAGCTGCTCTGGGATGAATAGATGGTAGGGGTACAAGAAACAGTATCAGTGCGACTAATTAAGAGGCTGTGCAATATTGCAGGTGGGAGACGGCAGTGGTCTGCACAAGGATGGAGACATCAGGATGTGTTTTGAAGACAGAGTCCTTAGGACTTACTGATAATCTACATGTGGGAAGTCTGGAGAAAATGGGATCAAGGATGATTCCTAGCCAAAATGGCAGCAGGTGACATTTATCGAGCACTTTGCACAGATTCTCTCATCACTCCTTCATTACCAATATCCTTACCATCTTCTTTATCATCATATGAGGCAAATACTATTATTAACCCTATTCTACACAGAGAAAATCAAGAAGCCAAGGTTTGGGAAGGTCAAATAACCTCTCTATGGTTATATAAGTTGGTAATTGGAACCAAGATTTGAATTCAAGGAGTCTGGAGTCCCAAGTTTGTCCTGTGAACTGCACTCCTATACCAAACCTGGATTATACACATATGCATAGATTGAAGGGTATGAATAGTAAAAAAATGCTAAAGGGAACCTAGTTACAAGAAGGGGCAGTAAAAATAATAAAAGACATACTCTTGTTTTTTCACTTTTTTTTTTTTTGAGATACGATCTCGCGCATCAGCCAGGCTGGAGTGCAGTTGCATGATCTCAGCTCACCGCAACTTTGCCTCCCGGGTTCAAGTGATTCCTGTGCCTCAGCCTCCTGAATAGCTGGGACCACAGGTGCGCATCACCATGCCCGGCTAATTTTTGTATTTTTAGTAGAGCTGAGGTTTTGCCATGTTGGCCAGGCTGCTCTCAAACTCCTGGCTTCAAGTGATCTGCCCACCTCGCCCTCCCAAAGTGCTAGGATTACAGGCATGAGCCGCCGTGCCCAGCCAAGACATATTTTTTTTTTTTTTGAGACAGAGTCTTGCTCTGTCACCCAGGCTGGAGTACAGTGGTGCAATCTCAGCTCACTGCAACCTCTGCCTCCTGGGTTCAAGCAATTCTCCTGCCTCAGCCTCCTCAGTAGCTGGGATTACAGGCGCCCGCCACTACGCCTGGCTAATTTTTGTATTTTTAGTAGAGACGGGGTTTCACCATGTTGGCCAGGCTGGTCTTGAACTCCTGACCTTGTGATCTGCCCACCTCAGCCTCCCAAAGTGCTGGGATTACAGGCATCAGCCATCACGCCTGGTCAAGGCATACTCTTATAATCTAGGATGGGAGAGTGTTTGGAATATTGTACTGCAGAAGGGCTCTATGCTATTTGCTGGCAGTGGGAAGGGAGGGAGTACCTTAACACCGGATTGGAGTAGCCCACAGGGAAAATACTCATGTGATTATCCCTCCTAGCTGCGTGGCACCTCTGTTCTACATGTCTACCTCACCTCTCCGCAATGTGTAGTTGCCTTGCCTCTAGTGCCAGTTTACTCAAGGTTTTCCACATTGCCTCTGTTTCTGGGGTCATTTCCAGAGTCTCTAAGAAGGCTGTTGCCCTGGAAAGGGAAGGAAGCAAAGCATAATGAATGAGGAATGGGTTAGGAAGATACAGCAGAAGACTGGTGATGGGGCAAGGGGAGGGGGAAGGGCCATCTTTGTCTCATCTCCTCCCAGGATCACTGGATCCTTATTAGTGCTGGCCAGTTTTACACCCCACCCCAGGTCCTCCCCTCTCAGAACCAGACTCTCCCACCACCTCACTGGTTATTGGCCAGCCTCTCACCGGATGTAGTTGCCATCATCAATGGCTGTTCCAAACTCGATGAGGCCCTCATCCAATGTGTAGGCAACAGTAGTCACACCTTCCATCACCATCACCTCGGTCTTTCCCCCGCCCCGCTCCAGACCTATAACATCACCCTGTAAAAGTTTATCCCCCAACCCACCCCAATTTCAGGTTAGTTTCCACTGAATCAATTATAGAAAAGACCCACCCTCATCCGACCCAGTCAGTGGTCAAGAGAGTCACAGCGGCCCTGATTTTCCTAACATTTTAGTTTCTCTCAAGCATAAAAAAATACTTCATTTATAGCAATATCCTTGGGTTAAAGTATACTCCTATGACAGCACCAACTCTTGGAGGTATAAAGTGTGGCATTCACTTCTGCTTCCAGCAGTACCATAAGAGTAAGATATTCTTAAGGGATCTCTCATTAAAATATGACTTGAACCTGGAACATACTTTTTAATGCATTGCTTGGGCTTACTTGAAGAAATCACTAAGAATATTCCCTACCCATATCCTACCCTTCTCTCTCAGAAAAAGACAGACTGAAAGAAAAAGGTCAATAAGCTAAATCCTGAGCAAGAAAAAAAAGAAAGTGAGCAAATGGGAAAAGTACAGTTGTCCTGAAAGCAAATGCAGTGTCAGGAGAATAAACCTCAGGCCCTCCAGCAGGATGGGGAGTCTGAATTTGAAAATCCTTAATTAAACCTAGGATCCACTCTTTAGTAAAGGGAACAAAAGAAATGGTTACAGATCATTAATATGCCTGATTCCTGCAGAAGCAAGACCGAATCATCACTGGAGGAGAACATATCCATTTTAAGCCCTCAGGATTCCAAAAAAATACATTCAAAGCAACATGAGCTCACAATAAAAAGGAAAAAAATACAAGGAAACCAACCACTATGAAAAAGTAAACAATAACTACAAACAACAGTTTTAGATCTTCAAGAATTTCAGATATTAAAAATAACAGTTAAAGGCCGGGCTCGGTGGCTCATACCTGTAATCCCAGCACTTTTCGAGACCAAGGTGGGAGGAGCACTTGAGCTCAGGAGTTCAAGACCAGCCTGGGCAACATAGCAAGACCTCATCTCTACTGAAAGAAAAAAAAAAAATTATCTGGGTGTGGTTGCATGTGCCTGTAGTCCCAGCTACTCAGGAGGCTGAGGTGAGAGATCACTTGAGCCCAGGAGTTTGCTCATGCAGTGAGCCATGATCATGCCACTTCACAGCCTGGGTGACAAAGTGAGACCCTGTTTTTTTGTTTCATTTTGTTTTTGTTTTGTTTTTAAGCCCAGTTATGGAATATAAAATGATTATTTATGAAGCACCTAAATACCTTAAAAGATGAAATGAAAAATTAAGCAAGGAATAAGAAATTATCAATATGGCCAGGCAGACTGGAGAAATAATCAAATAAAACTTAAAGAAAAATTTAATATTTGAAGTAAAAAACTCAATGTACAGTTTAAATAGCAGATTAGACAATGATAAAAAGCAAATTAATGAATCGAAACAGATCTACAGAAATTATCCAGAGGCCAGATGCAGTGGCTCATGCCTGTAATCCCAGCACTTTGGGAGGCTCAGGCAGGAGGACTGCTTGAGCCCAGGAGTTTGAGACCAGCCTGGGAAACACAGTGAGAACTTGTCTTTACAGAAAATTGAAAAAAAAAAAAAAAAAAAAAAAAAAAAAAAGCAGGGCATGGTGGCATACGCCTGTAGTGGCATACGCCTGTAGTCCCAGCTACTCAGGAGGCTGAGATAGGAGTATAGCTTGAGCCCAGGAGGCTGAGGCTGCAGTGAGCCAAGATCACGCCACTGCACTCCAGCATGGCGCAACAGAATGAGACCCTGTCTCCAAAAAAAAAAAAAAAAAAAAAAAGGAAATTATCCAGAATGAAGCATGGAGCAGGAAGAAAGAAACTATGAAAGAGAAATTAAAAATGTAAAACAAGAAATCTAACATTTGCCTAACTAGAGTTCTGAAGAGACTAGAGAATGGCTGAGGAGAAGAACGTTCAAAGAGATAATAACTAAGAAACTTCCAAGAGTGATGAAAATATGTGTATTCATAAACACAGGAAACACAATCTATACTAAGCAGGATAAATTTTAAAAATTTATGGCTGGGTGCAGTGGCTCATGCCTGTAATCCCAGCACTATGGGAGGCTGAGGCTGGCGGATCACAAGGTCAGGAGATTGAGACCACCCTGGCCAACACGGTGAAACTCCATCTCTACTAAAAATACAAAAAATTAGCTGGGTGTGGTGGCATGCGCCTGCAGTTCCAGCTACTTAGGAGGCTGAGGCAGGAGAATTGCTTAAACCCGGGAGGAAGAGGTTGCAGTAAACCAAGATTGTGCCACTGCACTCCAGCCTGGATGACAGAGCAAGACTCTGTCTCAAAAAAAAAAAAAAAATTATATCTAGACACATTGTAGTGAAACTTCAAAACACCTAAGAAAAAGAGAAGATTTTTTTGTTTGTTTGTTTCTGAGACAGAGTCTTACTCTGTCGTTCAGGCTGGAGTGCAGTGGTACAACCTCGGCTCATTGCAACCTTTGCCTCCCAGGTTCAAGCAATTCTCATGCCTCAGCCTCTCGAGAAGGTAGGATTACAGGAGCATGCCACCATGCCCAGGTAATTTTTGTTCTTTTTAGTAGAGATGCGGTTTCGCCATGTTAGCCAGGCTGATCTTGAACTTCTGGCCTCAAGTGATCCGCCTGTCTCAGCCTCCCAAAGTGCTGGAATTATATGTGTGAGCCACTGTGCCCGGTCCTAAAAAAGAAGACTTTAAAAGAAACCAAAGAGAGGCCAGGCACGATGGTTAACGCCTGTAATCCCAGCACTTTGGGATGCTGAGGCGGGCAGATCACGAGGTCAGGAGATCAAGACCATCCTGGCTAACACGGTGAAACCCCATCTCTATTAAAAATACAAAAAATTAGCCGGGCATGGTGGCAGGCGCCTGTAGTCCTAGCTACTTGGGAGGCTGAGGCAGGAGAATGGCATGAACCCAGGAGGCAGAGGTTGCAGTGAGCTGAGATCACGCCACTGCACTCCAGCCTGGGCAACAGAGCGACACTCCGTCTCAAAAAAAAAAAAAGAAAAAAAAAAAGAGAAACCAAAGAGAAAAGACAGATCACCTGTACAGAAATGGCTGATGATAAATTTTTCCGAACAACAATGGAAGTCAATCAATGAAACAACATTTACAAATTAAGAAAAATTAACTGTCAATCTAGAACTGGGTACTGAGTCCAAGCATCTTTTCAGAACAAAGGCTAGATAAAAACATGTTCAGATAATGAAAAACTGAAAATTTATCATCTTTCACTAAAGAAATTTCTAAATAAGGCTGGGCGCAGTGGCTCATGTCTGTAATCCCAGCACTTTGGGAGCCTGACGGAGGCGGATCACTTGAGGTCAAGAGTTCGAGACTAGCCTGGCCAACATGGTGAAACCCGTCTCTACTAAAAATACAAAAATTAGCCAGGCATGGTGGCACATGCCTGTAATCCCAGCTTCTCAGGACGCTGAGGTGGGAGAATCACTTGAACCTGGGAGGTGGAGGTTGCAATGAGCCAAGATTGTGCCACTGTACGCCAGCCTGGGCAACAGAGTGAGACCCTGTCTCAAAAAACAAAAAACAGAAACAAAAAACTTCTAAATAATATTCTTCAGGAAGAAGAAAAGTCATTCCAGAGGGAAGATTAGCATTGCAAGAAAAGGTAAACAAAGGAACTGGTACCTTGATGGTAAATCTAAATGAATCCTGTCTTATAAAATAATCAGGCAGGGCGTGGTGGCTCATGCCTGTAATCCCAGCACTTTGGGAGGCCAAGGCGGGTGGATCACCTAAGGTCAGGAATTCGAGATCAGTCTGGCCAACATGGCGAAACCTCATCTCTACTAAAAATACAAAAATTAGCTGGGCATGGTGACAGGTACCTGTAATCCCAGCTACTTGGGATGCTGAGGCAGGAGACTCTCTTGAATCCAGGAGACAGAGGTTGCAGTGAGCCGAGATGACGCCACTGCACTCCAGCCTGGGTGACAGAGAGACTCTGTCTCAAATAAAATAAAATAATCATGCCTAACTTTGGAGACAAAATAAGATTAGAACTAAAATACTGGACAACAATGACAAAGGGGAGGAGATGAAAGTTAAAGTCTTGTATTGTTTGCAGGGGAGTGGTTAGATGCTGATTAACTTTAGACTTTGTTCATTTAACTACATGTTAAACTTTCAAGGTAACCTCTACAGAAACAGGACATATAACTTTCAAACCCAAAATGTGGAGAAAAAAAAAAGGTGCTTAAAGAAATTAAACACAAAATTAGCTGGACATGGTGGCATGCACCTGTAGTCCTAGCTGTACAGGGGGCTGAGGCAGGAGGATTGGCTGAGCCCAGGAGGCTGAGCTGCAATGAGCTATGACTGTATCACTGCACTCCAGCCTGGGAGATAGTGGGAGACCCTGTCTCAGAAAGAAGAGAGAGAAAGAGAGAGAGAAAAAAAAAAGAGAGGAAGAAAGAGTAAAAGAGAGAAGGAGAGAAAGAGAAAGAAAAAGAAAGAAAGAACTAAACAAATAAATTTTAGACCCTAATCAGTTTAAAATGAGGTAAAAAGGAGATTTTAAAAAGGTATGGAAAAGGACAAAAAGAAAGCATCAAGCGCTCTACCCATACACACACACTCCTAGCCTAGCACAGGAGCCTGCCTCTCGTTTTCTCTGGCTCCTCCCAGATTTTGGAAGACTACTGGGTATGTATGATGTTGTGGTAGGACAGGAGAGAAGAGCTGATCTGTAATTTGAGAAAAAAAGGCACTTTGAATGGCTTATAACGGAGAATCAGCATAGAAGGAGATGACATTAGAACTGCCTCTCCTATCAGGGATCTTCCAGCCTACAGGGATCTCCATATTATGACCTGGTGACTTCCCGGGGCCACTGTAATGAACCCATACTCCAAGGGTCTAATATAATGTCAGGAATCTGAAAAAGGATGGTTCTGGGGGCTGGTCCATAAGTCTAAGCTTTATTTGCCAATTCTATCACAGAGATTAAGGGTGGTGGACACAGAAAACCAAGTAGCCTTCAGAGTCTCCTCATGGCTCTAATTAATCAGCTCAATACCACATCTGAGGGCCCCTAGTGTCCAACATACCCTAATAGTGAACATGGTGACTCTCTCAGGTGCCTCAATGTTGTACCATACACACAGACTGTTTCGGTTCTGAGCTACCAGCACGTCACTTCCTGGGACCCACTGCATATAGGAGCAGAAGTTGAGGATCATTGTCTTAGAGCAGCTTTCAATATCATACAGATGCAACTGAAGAAAGAAAAGGCAGGTAACACAATTACAAGGGGATGTGGGGTTGTCTCCTGCTTTTGACCATTTTCCTAATGGTGAGATGTGGTGAGCTAACCCACCACTCAGGTTCATGCTGCATTTCAAAGCTTACTGACCTGCTTTCTGCTGAGCTGGTATATCCTAACTCTGGTCAAGTAAGAGATGACCCATAGAACAAAGATCTACATCCCAGGAATTTTAAGTTAGGTGAAGGTCAGACTTTCCTTCTTGAAATAACTCTGGGCCAGAGTTACCAGCTTGGATTACAAATGGCAGGCCACTAGAAAAATTAAATTATCCAGAAATTTGTGATGTGGCTTTCACTGAAATGAAAAGTCATCAGGTTGTCTCTTTGATCTGAGGTTGAAGACTCTGGTGCTACCATATTGGGATGAGAATCAATGAGGGACGAAGAGGCTGTCCTCCAGCCAGTTCATGCTATCAGATAAGTGTGGCTGAAAAGCACTGGACAGCAGGTCTAGGTGAAGGTCAGCTAGGCATGAGGAGGAGGAATGCAGGGTTAAGGAAGTTTCCTGAGGGCACAGACTGTGAATAGTAAGAGACACCAACTTCCAAACTCCCTTCTTGACTTTGTTGCCATAATACAATCACCTCTGAGGTCATACAGGATTGCTGGGCGCATGGCTCAACACCTGTAATCCCAGCACTTTGAGAGGCAGAGGCAGGCAGATCACCTGAGGCCAGGAGGTCAGGAGTTCGAGACCAGCCTGGCCAACATGGTGAAAACCCATCTCTACTAAAAATACAAAAATTATCTAGGTGTGGTGGCACGTGCCTGTAGTCCCAGCTACTGGGGAGGCTGAGGCAGGAGAATCACTTGAACCCGGGAGGCAGAAGTTGCAGTGAGCCCAGATTGTACCACTGCACTCCAGCCTGGGTGACAGAGTGAGACACTGTCTCCAAAAAAAAAAAAAAAGAGGTAATAAAGGATGGGTTTTGCTATCAGTTTTGGTATCAGCTACAGAGAATGTTGATTCTTCTGTGCCTTCTGCCATGTTGATGACACAGCAAAGACAATGTGCTCCATCCTGCCTCCCTCAGTCCCTGGTGGCAGCTTGTCTCACACCCTCTGTGGGCCAGCCAATGCCTAAGGCCTTAGTAGCTCTTCTCACACGAAGTTTCCGGTCCCTGAAGAGGAGCTTGTGTCCAGTCTCATTAAGTTCCAGCCAATCCACACGGCTCTCATGGCTGACGGTGCCAATGTTGTAGCCACCAATCAGATCCACTATAGAATAAAGGAGACAGGGTTAAGAAGAGAGATTCCACACATATACATAGTATGGCCAACACACATAATTTTGCTAGGATGCCTAGGAAGCTAGGTCTCTTTTAGAATTGTAGAGGTTTTGTTTAACTATGTTGTTAACTCAAAAGGTCCAGACCCACAGAAATGTCATCACTCTCTGGGGCTTATGGAGTTACCTCAGAGCAGACTAGAACTATTGAGCAAGTGGCTTCTCCTACTCACAGAATCCCCTCGAAGGCAGCACTGAGCACATTAAAGATAAGCCTGATACAATACAGCAGTGAGACAAGGCTGATGAATCAATGACCTTGATGGTCATATGCTCTAAGAAGTCACCCGTATATTTGAATGCCTACTGTGTAAGAGCACTGCAAGGGTGGATGGTGGGGAAGGCAACAGACAAACCTCTGACTAAAGTTAGGCTGGTCACTGCAGAGGATGAATATTTTAGTTTGGTTTGAATCTTCTAGACATTATCAGAAACTATCACATTTAGAGCAGACCAATTAGGGTTGGCTGGGATGGTTTCAGGGGGTCTCTTGATCAAAGCCTATTTATAAGTTTTAGTGATATCCATTATTAATGAACAATGGGCCCCACTTTGTTATATATGCTTAAGCTAAAGACCAAATGTCCACTGGTGTCCATAATTGTGAAGACCAATTTAAAAAACAATCTTCCTTTAATTAAAAAGTAAAATCGGCAGGGCATGGTGGCTCATGCCTGTAATCTCAGCACTTTGGGAAGCCAAGGTGGGCAGATCACCTGAGGTCAGGAGTTGGAGACCAGCCTGGCCAACATGGTGAAACCCTGTCTCTACTAAAAATACAAAAAAAATTAGCTGGGCGTGGTGGCTGGCACCTGTAGTCCCAGCTACTCGGGAGGCTGAGGCGGGAGAATGGCGTGAACCCGGGAGGCAGAGCTTGCAGTGAGCTGAGATCGCGCCACTTCACTCCAGCCTGGATGACAGAGCAAGACTCTGTCTCAAAAAAAAAAAAAAAAAAAGGAAAATGATAAAGCCGTATTTTTTTTTTCTCCCGCCTCAGCCTCCTGAGTAGCTGGGACTACAGGCGCCAGCCACCACGACCGGCTAATTTTTTGTATTTTTAGTAGAGACAGGGTTTCACCGTGTTAGCCAGGATGGTCTCAATCTCCTGACCTCGTGATCCGCCTGTCTCAGCCTCCCAAAGTGTTGGGATTACAGGCGTGAGCCACTGCGCCTGGCCGATAAAGCCATATTTTAATGCCCCAATTATAAGTAGAATCAGAGTTCTAGAGTGGCGACGGCCCTAACTCCTCAGAACCCTGAAATTATACACAAAATTATGTGTGTACAGTATATATTTTTCTCTGAGAAGGTCTACGATTTTAGATACTCCAAAGGGTTGATAGCCCAAAAAAGTTAAGAGAAGAACTTTTTTATTTTTATTTTTTTTCCCCCGAGACAGAGTTTCACTCTTCTCACCCAGGCTGGAGTGCAGTGGCACGATCTCGGCTCACTGTAACCTCCACCTCCTGGATTCAGGCGATTCTCCTGCCTCAGCCTCCCGAGTAGCTGGGATTATAGGCACCCGCCACCATGCCCGGCTAATTTTTGTATTTTTAGTAGAGATGGGGTTTCACCACGTTGGTCAGGCTGGTCTCGAACTCCTGACCTCAGGTGATCCGCCCGCCTCGGCCTCTCAAAGTATTGGGATTATAGGCATGAGCCACCGTACCCGGCCTTGAACTCTGTCATTTTACATACATTGAAAATGAGACCTACAGAGTGAAATTGCTTGTCCAAGTTCTCACAACTCATTTTTGCTGCTCGAATCTTAGGCCTCTTGGTCTACATTATTGTTTCCATTATAGATACCTACATTTCTGAGTGCAGAAACCTAATGTGAAATATAATATTCATGAAATGTGCAACTATTTTAAGAATGGACTCATGTATATGGAAACTTGATTTGTGACAGAGATTGCGTTACAAATTAGTGGGTGAAGAATGGACTTTCAACAAATGGTTAAACATATGGAAAAAAATAAAATTAGATCGCTACCCACATTATACATAAAAACAAATTCCAGGTGAAAAGCAAAATTTAAAAATGTTAAAATATAGGAGGGAATAGGAAAGGATTTCTTAAATTAGACTTAAAGCATCATAAACTATTTTCTTTTTCTTTTCTTTTTTTTGTTGGAGACGGAGTTTCACTCTTATCGCCCAGGTTAGAGTGCAGTGGCACAATCTCAGCTCACTGCAACCTCCACCTCCCCGGTTCAAGTGATTCTCCTGCCTCAGCCTCCCGAGTAGCTGGGATTACAGGTGCCCTCCACCATGCCCGGCTAATTTTTGTATTTTTGGTAGAGACGGGGTTTCACCATGTTGGCCAGGCTGGTCTTGAACTCCTGACCTCAGGTGATCCGCCTGCCTTGGCCTACCAAAGTGCTGGGATTACAGGCATAAGTCACTGTGCCCGGCCTCAAACTGTTTTTTTTTTTAAGTGAAAAAAAATGGACTATTTTAAAGTGAAATGTCTGAACAGTAAAAGACTCCCAAAAGGAGAGAAAAGACAAGCCACAGGCTGAGGCAAAAATATCTGCAATGCAAATAACCACCAAAGTCTATACAAGCATATGCAAAGAACTCCTTCAAATCAATGAGGAAGAGACACTCTGATTTTAAAAATGGGTAAGAGATAGGAACTAGCAATTCACAGAAGAAATATAAATGGTCAATAATTATTATATATGAAATTAATATGAGATCTAATTTTATATATATCACGTTTAAGCCAAATTATGAAGTCAGGCAATTTCAAGTATTACAGAAGATGTCAGACAATAGAAACTCTAACTGCTGGTGGGAATAGAAATTGGTATAACTTTTTTAGAGAACAATTTGGAAATAGTGAAGTTGAAGACACAGCTCCTCTATGATTTAGCAGTTCCATTCTAGGCATGGAACTAACTGAATCACTGTAATAGTGAAAAATCAGCAACTTAAATGCCCATCAATAAGAGGGAGGATATAAAATGATTCAATGTAAATATAACAAAATGTCAGGATTTGACAGAACTGGGTATGGATAAACAAGTGATAATATCTTCTTTTAAAAAATTGGTTTAAAGTGGAAAGCTTCATAAATTTGTGTGTCATCCTTGCACGGGGCCATGCTAATCTTCTCTTTATCATTCCAATTTTAATATATGTACTGCCAAAGCAAGAAAAATATCATTATTTATAGCTAACATTTATTATTATGTACCAGGGATAAGTGTATTTCATATAAAGTACTATTTTTATCCCTATTTTGTAGATGAGGAAATTGAGATATAGAAAGATGAAGTAACTTCCTGAGATCACACAGGTAGAGAATTGAGATGGTTTGACTCTAGAGTCCCATTCTTTTTTTTTTTTAAATTTAATTAATTTCTTTTTTCATAGAGATAGGGTCTCACCATGTTGCCTAGGCTGGTCTCAAACTCCTGAGCTCAAGCAATCCGCCCGCCTCAGCCTCCCAAAGTGGTGGGATTACAGGTGTGAGCCACTGTGCCTGGCCCAGAGCCCCATTTTTAACAGCTACATTGTATAGGTAATGCTATTCTCTATACTACTTTTTATGCTTGAAACATTTCACGATAAAAATATGAACATATAAGATTTATAAATCTTATATGTTAATATTTGTGAAATGCAAATAAAATTTCTGTCATTATTAGTTACTAATGATAAACTATACAAAAAATAAGACCTCTTCCAGTTCTAACAGTCTATGATTCTATGAAGTGAAAACAGGAAAATTCATAAATTTAATGGGCCTTCTCTACTACTCACAATTTGCCAACCCTAAGATATATGTCTAGAGAACGTGAATAATTATATGGACCTCTGGGTTTTGTTTTTGTTTTTGTTTTAAGAGATGGGGTCTTACTCCATCATCTAGGCTGGAGTGCAGTGGCACAAACATAGCTCACTGCAGCCTTGGACTACTGGGCTCAAATGATCCTGCCTTGCCCTTTCAAAGTGCTGGGATTACAAGCATGAGTAACTGTGCCTGGACTGAACCTTTGTTTTTATATCTAGATATCCAGGTACAGATGCACACATATTGACTTAAACATTTCATATATATCCACTGTACATGTGGAGTTACTATTTACCTGGTGCGTCTCAGATTCCTGCATTCCCCACTGAATGCAATCCTGTGGTATGGAAGTGTGATATAAACATCTATTTTGTTATTAAAATTATGAGAGAGTCTTACTCACCTATAGCAATAGTCTTAATATCAATAAGATAAGCCAATTTCTTATTATCTTCTGTTCCTCGCTGACACCTCTCATTAATACGAACACTGAAACATGAAGGGTGAGGTAAGGCAAAATGGGCTGAGGTAGTTGGGATGTTTATTAAAGGCTCTGAAGTACCATATGGGATGAAGCTTTTATTTATTTATTTATTTATTTTGAGACAGGGTCTCACTCTGGTTGCCAAAGCTGAAGTGCAGTGGTGTGATCACGGCTCACTACAGCTTTGACTTCCCAGGCTCCGGGTGATTCTCCTACCTCACCTTCCTGAGTAACTGGGACTACAGGGGTGTGCCACCATGCCTGGATAATTTTTTGTATTTTTAGTAGAGATGGGGTTTCACCATGTTGCCCAGGCTGGTCTTGAACTCCTGGACTCAAGTAATCTGCTTGCCTCCTCCTCCCAAAGTGCTGGGATTATAGGCATGAGCCACCACACCTGGCTGAAGCTTTTGGATTAACTGGAGGACACAGAATTTAGGAGTCCAAAAGGAATTATTCTGGGTTTCAGGGATTCAGAGAATCTTGTGAGGTTACCTGATGAGGTGGGGGTTCATGAATTCAGTGCGTACAGAACCCAGGGTGTCATTATTCCCATATTCCACCAGGGTTAGCTCTCCGGCATTGAAGATCATGCATACCTGGGAAAAATGGAGTTGTTATACGGTGGAAAGGCTACATGAAGAAAAACAGTAGTGGGAGGTGTACTGTCAGTTCAAGGTGACTACCACTTTTCTCCTTGTTCTCTTACCCTGCCAATTTCATCCTCCCTGTTTCTTTATCTGCTGTTTCCCTATCCCTTGCAACTTGCCATCTTTATGACACAGAAGCTAGAAGGAGGCTTATCAAGATGGTGATGGTGAATCAAGCTCTACTCACATTCTCATTTTCAAAGAAATACTTCTCATTGCCACCAGATCCTTGCCAGGCTATCTGTAACGGGAGAAGACTTAAGAAGCAATGTGGATAAATACCCAAGATAATGCCGAAAGAATGAAGAATGACAGGTTGGGAAGTGGAAAGATATATTTATGTAGGCTTTGGCACTACACAAAAGAGGTGCTGTATCAGAATCTGCTCTGGTCCCTGAGAGAAACCAGAGAGATTTTCTGAGAGATGGCATAAAAACAGTCCAAATATGGTGATTCATACTCTGGGATTATAAAACTCCTGGGTCTCCTTCCCTGAAACCAGGTCCCCTACACCAGAATGTTAGAACTTCTCATGGAGAGCTTACCCCTAGGGATTTTGGGTCCCCACAAATATTAAGCCAAGATGCCCTATTCCCCACCCTACCCTCAATTTTGGTTCCTACCTCACTAAGCCGATTAGTGTTCAGGTCCCCCAGCAGCAGTGTTTCTGATGTGTGAGCCACCAAGTAACGTTCCTTTCCTAGGATTTTCACCTCTTCCACCTCATAGCCATAGTGTGACTTGAGCACCACTCGGGTTCCTGATGACAGGTTCTTCACAATCACCTTGGTAAAGGACAAGTGTGAGCCCCTTAGGCTTCCCCAGCCCAAAAGAAGGGTGAACAACCATGACCTTTGCCCACCTCCACAGCACTAAACAAAGCTAATACCTTGTTTCTTCCCTGGGTCTAGGATATTGTTGATAGTAATGATATCTTATGTTTATATGGGGCTTTACTATTTATGAAATGCTTTCCTATATTATCTCTTTTGACACTCATAATTTATATAATTCTGAAAGTTCCACTGGGTAAAACCAATCACTCTATGTTCTCATGGTCTTTGTACAAACCTTATATATCATTGATCACAGTGTATGTATTGATCAGTTGATTGACTGACTTGACAGGGTCTCAGTATGTTGCTTAGACTGGCCTTGAACTCCTGGGTTCAAGCAATCCTCCTGTCTCGGCCTTCTGAGTAGCTGAGACTACAGGCATGTGCCACTGCATCTGGCTAATATTATTTTTTGATATGTCTGTGTCCTCTGTTATAATGATCTCTTTGATCAAGGGACAATGTCTTACAGATAATTATCTGTGTATTCCCAATGCCTAACACTGCTGACACATAGTAGAGAATGAATAAATGTTTCTGGAAAGAACAAAAGAATGAAGAAACCAATGTATAATAAATGGAAGGACAGAGGTAGAAAAAAGAGAAAAGTGGGCCCAGGAACTGAGAAATTTTTAGCTTGCAACATCATACACAGTGAGCTCAGAGGCCTTAAAACAACAGAGTTCACATTTATAATCCTATTTATCCAACTGCCCAATTGCCAGTGTGTAGCCAGTAAAGTTTTAAGTCAGGAAGGCTTAAGTGGCAATCTCTGCACACCTTATGCCTGGTGCTTAAAACTTTTCTTTTTTTTTGAGACAGAGTCTTGCTCTGTCACCCAGGATGGAGTGCAGTGGTGCAATCTCAGCTCACTGCAAGCTCCGCCTCCTGGGTTCATGCCATTTTCCTGCCTCAGCCTCCCAAGTAGCTGGGACTACAGGCACCCGCCACAACGCCCGGCTAATTTTTTTGTATTTTTAGTAGAGACGGGGTTTCACCATATTAGCCAGGATGGTCTCAATCTCCTGACCTTGTGATCCGCCCGCCTCGGCCTCCCAAAGTGCTGGGATTACAGGCATGAGCCACTGTGTCCAGCCAAAACTTTTCTTATAATAAGCTGCAAGAACTACAGCAGGAAAGTTACCACGGTGTTGCCCTGACATATTCTGTTGCCCAGAACAGCTCTTCCAGAGGGATGAAGATTAAATTTGAACTATGGCTGTGGCCAGAAGGCAGGGAAATGTTATAAGGAGGAATGAGCCACGCAAGTTCTCAGTGCAGTAGGCTACCATCCTGCTTACCTGGCTAGGTCCCACATACGTCAACTCAAACTTGTTCTTGTAAATACTCCTTCGGAGGCAGCAGTCAAACTGTTCCACCCCACCACATAGTGTGCCCTAGAAGGGAAAGTGACAGCATAAAAGGTCACACACATAGTACACTGGCATGGGGAGAGTATCTAGAGACATCCTCAAAACCTAAGCTCTAGAGTCTAGAGAAGAGTTGGCAGTGAAAGAGCTGGCAGTTTTTGGAATTACCAAAAGGAAAGAGGCTACAATCATTGGACTCAAGGGCACAACATATTAATGGGATAAAAGGGAAAAACTAGCCCTGCCTACACACAATTTTTTGTCCCTTTTGTGACCTAGGGTAAAGTATGAATTTCTCTTTCCTGCCTTTAATGCCAGAATTTTAGGTCAGGGTCAAAAGGAAAGAGGAGATTCTATAGTGTCAGGGAACAGTGCTTTAGGATAAGGCAGGATTTTTTTCTAGTTTGGTGAAAGTCACCAATCCAGAAAGGGATTACTAGTAACACACCACACAGAGCCGTGAGCCATCCCGCTTCCAGGCCAAGGCAGTGATGGTGTATAAATTGGTAATCTCCTTGGGCTTTGCCTCTTCCCAGATGCTTCTTCGAGGGATCCAGTTGAACACCCGAAGCCTGAAATAAAGTATGTGGCTTTTAGAAGAGATTGAGGCTGAGCTAAAGAGTGCAAATGGGCTGATAACCAAAGGAAATTAGTCTTGCTATATCAGAAAAGAAAGGAAATAAAAAGAACAGACAAGCTAGGCAGTCTAGCAGAAGAGGATATAAAGGTGCACAGGAAATAAGCTGGGAAAATCAAGGCAAAACTAAAACAGAATAAGAGTGAGGGGAGCAGAGAAAACAAAAAGACCAGGGCAGGTGAGAAAAATAAGCTACTAGGAGCAAAAAAATATGGAACAAGGAGATAAATGGTAGGAGTCAGTGAAGAAAGAAGAGAATACAAGGAGACATAAGATTGAAGGGGATAGAAAGACAGGACTGATAAAGCTGGGGTTAAACACATGCCAGAGAAATGATGAGACCTGGAACATGGCTGTTTATCTGCTGTTCCATCATTCATTCATTCATTCGCCAAACATCTGAGCATATCTTAAATATATATAGCATATAGATGCTAATCTAGGCACTGAAAAGATGAATAATAAGCCCCCTTCTCAAGGACTCTGATTTAGCCATCTATCTGGCTAAACAACAGTAGTTTGCAAACAACAAACTGTAATATAATGTGAGAAACTCTAAGCGGTCTCAAAGGGGGCAATGGAAACAGAAAATAGAGATGAATTCTGCTGTGGAAGTGCAGGGAGCGGCACAGAGACAAAACAAGAGCCCAGGACATTTTGGAACTGCCAGCACACCAATGGATAGCGGGAGCAGGAAGAGGAAAGCGCATGAATTACATACATACATTTGATTCTGCTCCAGTCTCGCACTCTGGCTCAGAATAATTTGGCTAAAGCAGAGAGTGTTCGCAGGGAAAGTAGGCAGTAGATAAAACTGGAAAGGGGACTTACCTGTCATAACTTCCTAGCACAACAGACTGGCCCCCAGGACTTGATACAGCTGTGGTGAACTCCCGCTCCTGAGGGTCACGGCTATAATCAAAAGTTTGTAGCATGTGACCTTCTTTTCCATAGGCTACAATTTTCCGATCACAGCCTGCAGCCACGATGCTATTGGTTGCCCATGCCAAGGCATAGGGTGGACACGGGTGGTTAACCAACTTCCCCTAAGACAGAAGTAGAGGGTTTCAATCACTCTTCGAAGACTCCACCCGAGAAATTCCTCACTCTCAACACCTGGTACATTCACTCTGACCATCATACCCTGCAGAAATCTCTTCCAACATTTCCCTATCCCAACACATCCTAATCCTGAACTCTTCACAAATTGTCACACACACACACACACACACACACACATACACACACACACACACCCCTATACACATAGGGGTTGACCTTGTGCTCTAGAAAAACCTCAAAATGCTTGTATATTGGAATTTTCTTTTTTCTTTTTTTTTTTTTTGAGACAGAGTCTCACTCTGCCGCCCAGGCTGGAGTGCAGTGGCACAATCTCATCGCTGCAACCTCCGCCTCCCCAGGTTCAAGCGATTCTCCTGTCTCAGCCTCCTGAGTAGCTGGGATTACAGGTGTGTGCCACCATACCAGGCTAATTTTTCTGTTTTTAGTAGAGATGGGGTTTCACCATGTTGGTCAGGCTGGTCTCGAACTCCTGACCTTGTGATCAGCCCGTCTCAGCCTCCCAAAGTGCTGGGATCACAGGCGTGAGCCACCACGCCCAGCATGTATTGGAAATTTTTAATATGCACCTGGTAAAGCTCCTCAGAAAAGGAGATGTGCTACACATTAACCAACACCGTCTGGGCCCACAAAGAGCATAGGGCTTCTTTTTTTAAGGAGGGTCAAATTTCAGTATTATACGAATAATTCTTCTTTTTTTTTTTTTTTAGATGGAGTCTCACTCTGTCGCCGGGGCTGCAGTGCAGTGGCGCGTTCTCACCTCACTGCAACCTCCCCTCCCGGGTTCAAGCAATTCTCCTGCCTCAGCCTTCCGAGTAGCTGGGATTCCGGGCACGTTCCACCATGCCCGGCTAATTTTTATATTTTTAGTAGAGACGGGGTTTCACCATGTTGGCCAGGCTGGTCCTGAACTCCTGACCTCAGGTCATCCACCCGCCTTGACCTCCCAAAGTGCTGGGATTACAGGAGTGAGACACTGTGCCCGGCCTATACAAGTAATTCTTTTTTTTTTTGAGATGGCATTTCACTCTTGTTGCCCAGTCTGGAGTTCAATGGCATGCGATCTTGGCTCACTGCAACCTCTGCCTCCCAGGTTCAAGCGATTCTCCTGCCTCAGCCTCCCAGAAAGCTGGGATTACAGGCATGTGCCACCACGCCCAGCTAATTTTTTTGTATTTAGTAGAGACGGGTTTCACGTCAGGCTGGTTTCCAACTCCTGACCTCAGGTGATCCACCCGCCTCGGCCTCCCAAAGTGCTGGGATTACAGGCACGGCTCACAAGTAATTCTTAATGTAAATGATTCAAACAACACACAATTATATAGAGTAAAACATGAAAGTTTCCTTTTTATCCCCCATCTTTTTCCTTTCCCCTTTCCAGAGTAAACTATTAACTCTTTTTTCTATGAATCTACATACATAAATATATATATTTTACATAAATGGGAATAATTTTCACTTTTCATTACTCTAAGAGTTTTTATTTCCCTTTGTCTCAAGGTCCCTTTCACCTAATTCATCCCTTCTTATAAGCAGTAAGCTCCAGGCTCCTAAACACAAATCCTCTCAGTGGCCACATCCAACTTTTTCTCTGTCCCTGAGTTCTCCTCTAGCTTCCTCTCTTAGTATCTCAATCCAAATGCCTTAGAAGTCCAACCTCCTCTAGGAGGGCTCCTGGAATTTCCTTATCCCCTATTCCACAGCATCTTTTTTTTTTTTTTTTTTTGAGACACGGTCTTGTTCTGTCACCCAGGCTGTAGTGCAGTGGTGCTATTTCAGCTCACTTGCAGGCTCAACCTCCTGGGCTCAAGTGATCTTTCCACTTCGGCTTCCTGAGTAGCTGGGACTACAGGCCCATGCCACCATGCCCGACTAATTTTTGTATTTATTTTTTGTTTTTTTGGTAGAGACAGGGTTTCACTGTGTTGCCCATGCTGGTCTCAAACTCCTGGACTCAAGCAATCCAAGCCTCCCACAACATTCTTTATTCATACCTGTGACTCTCCAGAGCCTTCATCATCAAAGAAATACCTAACGATGGTACCATCTGCATGACCAGAGAGAATTCCTTTCCCAGAGCAACTAAAAAAGGAGAAAGGAGAGAAATACAGGAAGAGACTATTTTATCTCACCAAGAAAGCCCCTTTCTCTGTCAAACACAACCTTGTCTGTGCTTCCTGCTACCAGTTCTCCTGCCTTTCATACTATGGTCTTGCAGTCCAGACTTCCCCACAGCATTTTCCTAACACTTCCAGACTCTAGTGATACTACTCCTCTTTACTCACTTTGTTGTCAGGGACACCACGTAAGACTCTGTCCCATAGATGGTAGATGATTTATTAGTTTTGGTGTTTGCTAAACGAACCTGAAAATGGAAAAATTGATACAAGTATGGTTAGGCTATTTTATATTTAACTAGGCCCTAAGAAAAAAAGGAAAAACTGTCCCACAAAACTGGTCCCTATGCATTCTCCCCAGTACGCAACTTGATCCTAAGAAAGAGGATGAACCATATTCCTCTCTCCAGAACCATTATCCCTACCACCCCCTCTCTTGTGTTTCCCTTCCCTCTTTTACCTTCCCTTCAGCCAGTCCAAAGACAATGATGTATTCTGCCGGCCATTGCAGACAAGTGACAGCACTCTGCGTGGAAGGAAACAATGAAAAGGATAACCCCATCTGTGTGGGCCAGCACTTTTATAACAACTTCAACACCCCACCACACACCACCACCTCAATCTCCTATAGGGAAGGACACAGCAGGGCTCTAAGGAAGACAGCAGATGACCATGAACAGCCATGAAGCACCATCCTTGCAGTAGGAAAAGTCACATTCAGATGTTAGAAATGCAACTCCTGGCTGTATTTATAAGTAGATATACTGATATATGTTTGTTCATCCTAAGGTTCCAGGGACTGGTCTGAACTTTACCGTCTGGATGAACTTGTTGCAGATGACTTTCTTGTCACCCCTGCCAAACAAAAGAAGGGGAAACATATTAAAAACCACTTCCAGGCCGGGCGTGGTGGCTCATGCCTGTAATCCCAGCACTTTGGGAGGCCGAGGCGGGAGGATCATGAGGTCAGGAGATCGAGACCATCCTGGCTAACACAGTGAAACCCCGTCTCTACTAAAAATACAAAAAATTAGCCGGGTGTGGTGGTGGGCGCCTGTAGTCCCAGCTACTCGGGAGGCTGAGGCAGGAGAATTGCGTGAACCTGGGAGGAGGAGCTTGCAGTGAGCCACAATCGCGCCACTGCACTCCAGCCTGGGTGACAGAGTGAGACTCTATCTCAAAATAAATAAATAAATAAATACCACTTCCATAAACAAATTGCCAAAAATGATGCTGAGGGAAGAGAAGAAAGAGCAGATTTCTTCCCTGGCCCAGTAGTATTTCTGACTACTCTGTAGGAGCCCTGAAAGGAGGTATATGAGGGAGCCTAAGCAGCTTCAGAACAATAACAAAGATGTGACATCACTCTGGGCTTCCAGGATCTCACAGGGCCTCCTGTTGACCTTGGACTGTTTCCTCCAGGGATGGGATTGAAGAACACGTGGGACAGGTGAAGGCAGAAAAGCAAAAACAGACTCCAGAAAGTCTCTGCCTTCAATGGCCAAGCTTGGCTTCTCATCCCCTGTATTTCCCCTCCCCAGTGAGGCATTTCTCTTGCCTTCCCCTTCTTTCCTGGGCCATCCCATCTCCCAGTCTCTATCCTCACCAATCTTCTCCAATCTTGTAGACATAGATGATGTTGTCAGTCTGTCCTATGGCAATTTTAGTGGAATCAGGAGAAAAAGCCATGCCCTTCACCATATAGCTCTTCCTGCCATACTAAGAGTTTAAAAAAAAAAAAAGAAAGAAAAAGAAGTAATGAGTACACATGAAAGAGAAAAGAGAAAAAAAGGCATATGTGTGCTCCTAAGGGAGCTTGAGGATTTATACTGAGAAAAAGGTGGGGTATGCCATTTCCTATGCTGATGGCTAGAAGGCAGACTACGTCTTTCAAGTTGTGAGACCCCATCAATAGGTTAAATAAGGTACACATGAATACACTGTTTACCTTCATGTCAGCTGGTTTGGTGGAGAATTTATCTCTCCGTTCTCCATGTTCATCATACAGCAAGACCACTCGGTCCACTGTGCAGACAGCAAATTTGGCATTGTTCTGGGACCAAGCCATGCAGGTCACCTTTGCAGCTCCATCCTGTAGAGGCAAAGGGGTAAAAACAAACCCATGTGCTGGTCTAGAATGCCAAAAGCATTTCTAGCTTCATTAATTCTAGTGTAATACTGGTCAATTTTCTTCCTGTCACGGTTCTATCCTCAAAACAAAGAGATGCCTGTGGCCCATGCTGGTCTCCAAGGCCTTCAGATCCTGGACTGTGAGAACAACAGGCTTCTAGAGACTCATATGCAAATGCACTAAGAGGCAGGGTGCTAAGTCAACTGTATCAATGAATCCCTGCAACGGCCTCCTCGTTTCCAGGTCTGCTACTGAAATAAATTCAATTAGTCTGGTAAGTTTTGGTCATTAGCCATTCATTCAATTAATATTTTTTTAGCACCTTATTGATCAAGGCACTTGGCCAGGGGCTGAGAGAGAGACAAAAAGCAAACCATAGATCCTGCCTCCACGTCTAATAAGATGGTGCAAAATAGAAAAGTCCTATTAAAGTATGTATAAAGTACTACAATAGTTTGGAGAAGCCTGAGAGAATTTTATGCTTAAATTATCAAAATTAAGCTTTGAAGAATGAATGCAGTTGAGTAGGAAGTTATCTGAGATGGGAGGAATGGCAATGAGCAAAGGCAAATTCTGGACAAGAAACAGTAATTTAGTTTATTTGAAACTATTATACCTTATAAATAGTAGAATAGACGGGGTAAGGCAGGAAAAACAGGCCAGCTCAGGAAGTCTTTGAAGCCAGGCAAAGGAGTTTGGGCTTATTTGAAAGGAAAGGGAGAGACAGTGAGAGTTCAGGATGGGCGAGTACGAGTTGAGACTCAGGACGAATAATCCCACTTTCTTTTCTTCTTAACTACCCACTTCAGAGAAACCCAAGTTAGAAGTTATCTCCAGGTGAATTATTCTGACCAGATCTGACCCTTCCAACACTAGCTCTGGTCCTAAGGGACTAGCTCTGCTACTAAGGGTTTCCTTCCTTGAAAACAAAACATTTTATTCTGCTTTTCTTCTGCCCCAATTGTTTAATTATTTGGACACTAGAGTTCTGGCTTCAAACATTGACACTTTACACTCCAAACTCACCTATCTCCAAAGTCAGAAGTAAAAAGTCTATTTTCCTGCAAATCCTCAAACCAGAAAATAGCCACACCACCATCACTATGATCCTCTAACTCTTCATTATATTAGGTTAGAAGGCCTGAGGGCTCCTCATCAATCTTTGCTGATCCTCCTGCTTTATCGCTTTGCCCAATTCTGGGCATTCAGCCCTACCTGCATCATGACATCATCTTATTTTGAGAGACTGAAGGAGGATTTCATTTCCAATTTTTCCATTAGGGCGGAGAAATTTTTAAAGTACAGATTCAATGGACAGCTTGCTGAGCAATGAGCACAAATCTCTGTCTTTTTATTTTTTTCTCCAACTGAGGAGAGAGCACAACTATCTTTGTTCTAATTTCCTTCTTTTTTTTTTTTTGACGGAGTCTCACTCTGTCCCCCAGACTGGAGTGCAGTGTCACAATCTCAGTTCACTGCAACCTCTGTTTCTTGGGCTCAAGCGATTCTCCTGCCTCAGCCTCCCAAGTAGCTGAGGCTATAGGCGTGTGCTACCATGCCTGGCTAATTTTTTTATATTTTTGGTAGAGACATGGTTTCACCGTATTGCCCAGGCTGGTCTTGAACTCCTGACCTCAAGTGATCCACTCACCTTGGCCTCCTGAAGTGCTGGGATTACAGGCGTGAGCCACCACGCCCGGCCTGTGTTCTCATTTCCTCCTATTGTCCAAATGCCACACCCTCTGTGAAGCCTTCCTGATTTCCATAATCAATTAATTCTCCTTTCTCTACAATATGTACCTCACTAGATTTTTTTATTAAGTGAGGTAGGGAATAAAATAATAAGAGCTTGCCTTTAACAAGTACTTACCATAGAATAGGCATTTTGATAAGTGCTTGACAAGCATAATCTCATTTTACCTCATAACACTGAGGTAGATGCTATTATTATCCCCCTTTTACAGATAGATGAATGGAAGCCCAAAAAGATTAAGTAATTTGCCCAAGTTCACATATACAGTTTGTAAGTGGTAGGACCATGATTTATTTATTTAATTAATTTATTTTTTGAGGCAGAGTCTCGCTCTGTCACCCAGGCTGGAGTGCAGTGGTGCGATCTTGACTCACTGCAACTCTGCCTCCTGAGTTCAAGCGATTCTCCTGCCTCAGCCTCCCGAGTAGCTGGGATTACAGGCATGCGCCACCACATCTAGCTAATTTTTGTATTTTTAGTAGTTTCACCACGTTGGCCAGGATGGTGTCGAACCCCTGACCTCGGGTGATCTGCCTGCCTCGGCCTCCCAAAGAGCTTGGTTTACAGGCATGAACCACTGCGCCTGGCCTAGAACCATGATTAAATCCATGTATGTGTAAATCCATAAACCATAATCCCAATTTCTTTATTAAGGTACCCCAGTACATATTACACACTCAGTTATGGAACATCTTATTTATTTTTAAGACACAGCCTCACTCTGTCACCCAGGCTGGAGTGCAGTGGTGTGATCACGTCTCACTGCAGCCTCGACCTCCTGGGCTCAGGAGATCCTCCCACTTCAGTGACCCCAGCAGCTGGGCCTACAGGTGCTTGCCACCACACGAGGCTATTTAAAAAAAATTTTTTTTTTTTGGACAAAGTCTCACTCTTGTCCCCCAGGCTGGAGTGCAGTGGCACGATCTCGGCTCACTGCAACCTCCACCTCCCGGGTTCAAGCGATTCTCCTTCCTCAGCCTCCTGAGTAGCTGGGATTACAGGCGGCTGCTGCCACGCCCGGCTAATTTTTGCATTTTTAGTAGAGATGGGGTTTCACCATGTTGGCCAGGCTGGACTTGAACTCCTGACCTCAGGTGATCCGCCCGCCTCGGCCTCCCAAAGTACAGGGATTACAGGTGTGAGCCACCGCACCTGGTCAAAATTTTTTTGTAGAGGTCTTGGAATCTTGGGCTCAAGTGATCCTCCCACCTTGGCCTCCCAAATTGCTGGGATTACAGGTGTGAGCCACTGGGCCTGGCCAGACATCTTATTCTTATTAGCTTTGTATTATTCTGTCCTTTGAATTTTGAATGTCCTTTCCTCTTGTCTATCAATTTTTCACACTGCTTTTCAGTTTACAATGCTCTTTTGTGTATATTACTCTATATAACTCTTCCCCAAGTCCCCTAAAGTTGCTATTAGTACTCATGTTTTTTCAAATGAAGAAGTTGGTGAGTGCTCCGAGACATTGTATAATAAAGGCTAAAGTTAGAGATATCAGGTCATTTGTTTAAAGTACTGGTGGCCAGTCTGGGCAACATGGGGAAACCTCGTCTCTACAAAAAACAAAAACAAAAACAAACAAAGAAACAAAAAATTACCCGGGCGTGCTAGCGCACGTCTGTAATCCCAGCTACTTGGGAGGCTATGGCAGGAAAATCCCTTGAACCCGGGAGGCGGAGGTTGCAGTGAGATCGAGCCACTGCACTCCAGCCTGGGCAACAGAGCAAAACTCTGTCTCAAATAGTTAAATAAAGTAGTGGTTGACCTGAAATAAGGACAAGGTAAGAAATTTTAAAAAGAAAATAAGAAAGTAGTGGTGGAGCTAGGACTTAAATTCTGGTGTGCTAACTCCAAAGCCCACCCTTTCTTCACCATGTTTCAGGGCTCCTCCCCTAGTGCCCAGCCTCTCCTGAATCAGAATACACGGTTCGGTCTTTGCACTCCCCCTTCAGGGCTTGCACCTAAGGCGCTTATTTAATTATGGGCACATGCATACTCGCTGCTTACATGTGCACCTCACCCTCTAATACGAGCCTCCTGAAGGGAGGGACATAAGTCGGGTGGTTTGGGATTCCTACGAACCCCAGCATGGGGCCTGTACACAACTGATGTGAATGAAATGTAAGGAAAGCTACAAGTCCTTAGCCCTGCATCTCGCCTCCTGGACGCTGTATCGACAGGCCAAGATCCAGATCATCGCTATATCCCTTACAGCCTTCTGCACACAGTAGGAGGTCAACATCATTAAACTTCAGTTCCCCCACTTTTCTTGGAACATAAAGCATAAGGGGGAGGGACTGGCACGCAATTCCTCACCTGAGGGCTCAGCAGGGTCCTCAGGTGCTTCAAGTGCATGACGCACACCTGTCTTTCAGATGCTCCTAGACAGCGACAACTCCCGTGGTTACCTGGACAACCCGCCACGCAGCCGCAGCGACAGGCACTGACGCTTATGCGACCGGAGCGCAACACGCGTCGCAAGGTCACACGTAACTTTGCGGCGAAGCAAACAGAACGTGCGCAAGCGCGGTGAGATCTAGGGCGGGCCCTTGAGAGGGCTTCATGAATGTTCTCCTTGACCAATCCCGTCGCCGCATGCAAACTCAAGACCAAGCCCCGCCCACAAGCCTTCAGCCAGCCCCAGGTCCTACGTCATAGCGGTCCGTCTCGCTCTTCGATGTACCTGACTTTCTGAGTGCACTCTCTTAATCCTCACAACTCTGGAGGGAAGCAGGGCGGTTTCCATGATAGGCCTTCTGCAGTTGACGGAATTGTACCCAAATAGGTTACATGATTTGCACGGGATCGCAAGGCTAATAACGATAGCTAACGATGAATACTCAGTATGTGTCTGCCAGGTACTGTGTAAAGTATTGTACGTGCATTTATATCATTTAATCCCAAAACCACCTTTTGAAGGGGATAGCGTTATTATTAGTCTCATTTTACATAACAGGAGACTCAGGGCACTTGCTCAAACTAACACAGCCAGCGAAGGACTTGGAACTGGAGTTCAACCCAGAGTTAGTAGCTTTAAACAGCTTTTATGTTCCTTCTCAACTCCTAGCTCGCTCTCTCCATGCCACGATACTATAACCTGTCACATTCCCATCCCAATAAATGACATTTATTCTCAGAATCTGGAAGATGAGTGTTTTGGAACTAGCTGCCAAAGAAACGTAAGGTACCCTACTTCCTAATTGGGTAATGGTGGGTTAAAGACTGCTGTTTACATTGGAATGTTTTTATGGTTCAGTTTGTTGTTGTTGTTGTTTTGAGACAGAGTTTCACTCTTGTTGCCCAGGCTGGACTGCAATGGCGCGATCTTGGCTCACTGCAACCTCTGCCTCCCGGGTTCAAGAGATTCTCCTGCCTCAGCCTCCCAAGTAGCTGGGATTACAGGCATGTGCCACCACGCCCGACCAATTTTGTATTTTTAGTAGAGACAGGGTTTCTCCATGTTGGTCAGGCTGGTCTCAAACTCCCGACCTCAGGTGATTTGCCCGCCTTGGCCTCCCAAAATGCTGGGATTACAGGCGTGAGCCACCGTTCTCGGCCTGTGGTTCAGTTTTGAGGGCAGACCTGACTTGGCTCACCCGATAGGTTGTCTTGTGATACCTGGGGTTAGAGATTGGTTAAGTAGAAAAGAGACTGACTTGTTGATCTTTGGAGTCCCGTTCAGAATTTTTGGCCTATCTTCTAACATACCAGAGAGATTGAAATGCAGAAAGGAGTTATTCATAAGCCTGCTCTGAAATGATCCAAAGTTGGGAAGATCTGTAACTCTCCAGGAAGTGTAACATATGCTCTCCAGACAGACTGTGGGTCCAGAAGCCTTCCCCCACAGTGGTTTGCAAGTGTCAACAGGTGTTTGTCTCATGGCCACCAACCACCCCTTAGAAAATAGGAAAGAGCAGAGGACAGCCCCTATTTTCACAGGAAACAAGTAGGCCTCAGAGCTCAAATGAGAATTATTTTGACAGGGGAGTCCCAACCCCTCAGTTTTATTTTCAGAATCCTCCTCTGGATATGGTGGCAGAGCATGAATATAAACTCATTTATGAATTACAGTTATTACTGACTTTGACTGACTAAACAGAGACAGAGATGAAAGGGAATGCAAAAGAGGGAAGAACAGACACAGGAACACATAGGATAGGAGCATGTGGCACCAAGGAATCCATGAGTGTAGCTGTCCTTTCATTAGTCCCCAAGACACTGCTTAGTCCTTTTCTGACCATTAGCCCAGGGTTGATGGAGGAGTCAGAAGAGTAAGTGGTGAGGAGCTGTGCTGTCGATGCAAGCAGTGAAGATAAAAAGGCTACTACCCTCTCATATGATATGTATTAGTATTCAGTGGTGCAGGAACTTATATCTTTCTCTTCTCTTTTTCCCCTTCTCACCCAACAAAGCAAAAGAATCTGGGGTTAGTTTTCTATACCTCTTCTTCCTGGCCCTATCCTAGGGTGGGGTATTATCACACCTTGCAATGCTCCTGTCAAGTAGGTGATGGTGTAAGGGGCCCTTGGAGGGTCAGGAGAGAGACAAGGTGAGGAAATGTCTTCAGCATACTATACAGTCAGCTCCAGTTTGTCCAAGAACCTTTATTGGAAAAATGTCCAACAAGTGATATCACTAGCAGCTGAAGGGGCTGCCAGGTGAGAGGGGGAGCACCTGAGGCTCCATGGAAGACATTGGAGTAGTGCAGTGCAGCATCTGCCTCTAGGGTCAGACAATTCCTTTTATTTGCTGGGGTAAGAGGAGTACCCACAGAAACACCCCTCTCTGAGGGCCAGAGGCAAGATGTGGGGCAGCTGGGGATGCTCAGAGTCCTGATACAGGTGAAATGGGGCCCCCATTTGGGACCTAATGGAGTAGGGTACAACTAGTGACTCTCCCCTGGACCGGGGAATGGAAGGAGATATCCCATCTGATATCCACTCCCCAGGTCCAGGGGCACAGACTCTGAACAGACCTACCTTCTGGCTCTGCTCACAGTGGAAAGAGGATGGGTACCAGGCCTGAGATTGTGGGAGTGGCATTACCCTCTGGGAGTCTCGGGCAGATCACCATCTTGGGCTCCCCCTGACCCCATCCCTATCCCCAGTTGTTAGTGCATCTCTCTTCTGGGTGTGTTTCTTCACTCAAACGTCGATGGTGTTGATAGATGGTGACTTTTTCTGTGAAAGAAAATGGCCTGAGTCTCAACTTCAGGAAGGTAATAGGTGCCACCCTTTCTCTCCAGCCTCCCCCATCCCAGATCTTCCATTCTCCATCTTTTTCTGCCCCTCTTTGACCTTCTTCCTTTCCCTGGCTGCCCCTCAGGGGCAGAATCACCCTTTCCGCCCTCACTGGCCCCCACATCACCTGTCTTGTCCCCACTGGCCTTCCCTGAGGACTCTGTTCCGGCCCCTTTCCCTTCTCCTTGGGATTGTTGTTGGAGTCATTGTCCTTGATGATGTCATACTGACGGCAGAACAGCCCAATTACAGCTGAAACACAATACAGTCTGAGCCTTCATCTCCACTTCCCCCCTCATAGGGAGATACCTACGTAGCTTCTAGAAAATCCATGAAGAACATCCTGAATTCCTGGTGCCCATGCAGTCCTCCTCTCTGGGCTCTCAACAGCCTCCTCTCCCTCTCTTCAAAGTTCAAATCATCCCTCCTGAACTAAGTATCTCCCCACTCCACTCTATTTCTCTTACTTTTTTTTTTTTTTTTTTTTTGAGACAGAGTCTCGTTCTGTTGCCCAGGCTGGAGTGCAGTGGCATGATCTCGGCTCGCTCACTGCAACTTCCACCTCCTGAGTTCAAGCAATTCTTCTGCCTCAGCCTCCTGAGTAGCTGGGGTTACAGGCGCCCTCCACCACACTCTGCTAATTTTTGTATTTTTAGTAGAGACGGGTTTCACCATGTTGGCCAGGCTGGTCTCAAACTCCTGACCTCAGGTGATCTGCCTGCCTTGGCCTCCCAAAGTGCTGGGATTACAGGCGTGAGCCACTGTATCTCTCACTTCTTTTTCTCCTGACAACCTTTGCCACCTCACACCTTTACTGAGTCCCTGGTCCCCTGTCTAGCTGCTTACTCACCAGCCCACATGAGCAACACCACCACAATGATGACCACTTCCCCAGTCTGCAGTGGCCGCTCTCCATCCAGACCTTCCACTGTGATGTCACCTGAGAAGGGAGAAGGCAGAAG
The DNA here is from genome assembly GCF_000001405.40 of Homo sapiens. Classification (NCBI taxonomy): domain Eukaryota; kingdom Metazoa; phylum Chordata; class Mammalia; order Primates; family Hominidae; genus Homo; species Homo sapiens. The sequence continues at coordinate 27,493,501 of NC_000002.12, forward strand.
GCAGACTCCAGGTTACTGGGGTCCATACTGCAGACATGCAGGATGGAGATGCTGGGGATTAGAAAGGGTGGACCCATCATAATGTTGCCCTTGGAGTGTAGGGTAGCCCCTCCCTGGGAGGAAGCCGTTGGTGGACAGGTGGTTAGCGACCAAAAAGCGGGATGGCTGCAGGTTAATTACTCACTCATGCAGGCTGCAGCTGATGTGAAGTTGGGTAACAGGAAGCTTAAAAGGCCTTCCCCCAAACAACTCAATACCAGCCTGTCTATACCCAATCCCCTTCCCACCTGCTTTTCTTTCCTTTCCTGGCAGTACAATGAATTAAATCATCCTATTCAACTCAGCTAGTCTGTTGCTTGTCTTGGGGAAGTAAGTAAGAGGCTGCAAGCCAGGTAAGCAGCCAGAGAATCCAATAGCACAGATCCTCACCTGGGCTTGAACTGTTTGAAGGTAGCCGGTCAGAACCCTTGAGAGTTCGGAAGTGCACCCGGGGCCCTGGGGGACTCTCTCCCCGAAGGCCGATGCTCCTGACCTGCACTGTGTAGTCACTGTCTTCAGCCAGGCCCCAGAGGGCACAGGCCCGGGTGGTGGTGTTCACCTCCCGAATCACACGCTGCCCGGGGCCATTCTGCCGCTGCAGGGAGATGAGGGGAGAGGAGGACAGCCTCACCCCAGTGCCAGGCCACAAGGCTCAACCAGAGACTCTTCAACATCCAAGCACTCCGGGGGAGTAGCGTGAAAAGGGCAGCCTGAGCCAGGATACGCCAGCTTCCAGATCCCCCCCACTTAAGTGAAGAAATGTGCCGAAATCCAAGGACACAGGTTGGGGGAGCAGAAGGGTGATTCATACTTGCTGGGAAATGGAGTAGCCAATGACGATGTTGCCTTCTGGGACGTCCCAGGACACAGTGGCCGAGTTGGCTCTGAGGTGAGTGACCGTCACATTCACAGGAGAGGGAGGCCGGTCTGCGGGAGCCAGGGTGTTTAACAGGTTTCACCCATTGACTAGCTGTGGTTGACCCTCAGCCCCGTTCCCCTTTACTTACCTGCTCGCACGAAGCCCAGGTCACAGCTGACCAGCAGGAGGACCGTGGGGCTTAGATATGGGGAAAGGGGCACCAGCGAAGCCATGTCCCCACGGAGTCCGCTGGGGGGGGAACTGTGGCATCCGCTTGGCATCCGCTTGACATCCAGGCGGGGCTCCTGGAGATGGCAGGAGTTGTGGGGGGTCAAGGACTGCCCAGAACGCACGGAGGTCGGGGGGCAGCAGCTCTCCTGGGCTCCCCACAGCTCACAACAGCCCTATTTTCTCTACGCCCTCCCGCCCCCGCATTGCCCGGGCGGCCCCAGAGTGCGGTCCGCCCTGCCCACACCCACCTCCGCCGGTCCTCGCGGTTGGTCAGGCCTCGGGGGGCTGCTCGGTGCCCAGAGGGCGGCCCATCGCCCGACTCGGTGGCGCTGCCCCTACCCCATCCCGGCGCGGGCCCGGCGACGCGGGCAGCGCGGGGCCGAGCTGCGGGCGGAGCGGGCGCGGGTCTGCGGAGCCCCCAGGGCTCGAGCGGGCCACGGAGTCTGTCCGGGAGCAGGGGGCGTTGCCCGGACGCTGGCCTGGGTCCCCGGTGCGGGAGGCAGTGCGGCGGCCTCCGCCCGCCCCTGCAGCGGGATGTGACCGTCCCGGAGAGCCAGCCGCCGCCTTCTGCAGCGCTGGCCCCGCTCGCTCCGCCGCAGCCCGGCCGGGACGCGCGGGCCCGCCCCGCCCAGCCGGGGTTCTCGCCGCCGTCATTCCCCTCCCGCCCCCTCACTCCCGTCCTCTCGGGGCTCCTCCCACGACCCTCCCAATGGCGCCTCCGGAGCCCCCATCCCTTATCCCTTCTCTCTCCCAGCTGAAGCGGACGAGTCGGCGGGGGCGTGGGGGGTGAGACGCGGGTGCTAGGGTCTCCGGCACCTGGGAGATCCCCTTCCTCCCCGCGTGGAAGAGCCAAGTTGGGAAGAGGAATTCCACCTCCAGTGCCCGAGGGGCTAACAGGAGAGGGGAGAGAGTGAGGGAGATAATAATTGCTTTAACAATCCCTTACTTGTAGACTGCGTCAGCTTTTAAGTCTCTTTTCCATTCATAATCTCATTTAATTCCGTTCGCTTTCTCATTCATTCTTTCATTTATTCACCAAATATTTATTGAGCATCTCCTATGTGTCTGGCATTATATTAAAACCTGGAGATACAGTGATTGTTAAGAGTGTTGGGCTTCTCGGGAGAATCAAAGCGCAAAGACCTATGGCTTTTTTAAAAAAATTATTATTCCTTTCTTTTCTTTTTTTGTTTTTCTAAAGCTCTACCACTTACGGTGTGGTTTTGGAGAAACTGGTTTATCTGTGCTTCAGGTTTCCCACCTGTAAAGCAAAGCGTGTGAAATCTCACAGGGTTGTTGTGAGGCTCAAATGAGACGGGAAAGATCTTTATAAATCTCACAACACTATGTGACTGGATGATGGAGATTAATTTGCACCAATCTGTTAGTTACTTCTTTGTTCAATAACATGTAAGCCCTTACATTATATCATGCTTTGGTTGAGCTTGAAATCTGAATTGAGAACCTGGGTGTGAGTCCCAATTTGTCCAGCTGTGTGATCTTAAGCAACCAACTAAACTACTCTGAGCCTGTTTCATCATCTGAAAAATGAGGGTGTCAATATTGACCAACATCTTAGTGTTGGTGTATCCAATGAGATACTGTCTGTGAAAAGTGTGTTGTTCAGTGTAAATAAATGTTGGCTAACATTGTATTTAGGGCAGATTCTTTGGTTTCTAATTCTCAATGCAGTATTTCTGTTTCTGTGGGATTTTTCCCGCTGTAATATCCAGTACAGTGTGTGCACACTTGGGGCTCAGAAGCTTCTACTGCCTTCCTTTCTGAGAGGAGAGGATAAAATGGGACCAGTGGGACTGACTGTGTGTGCTGAGCATGTGATCAAGCCATGGGCCAGGTCCTCTGACTTGTGCTGACTTGGTGACCCTGATCTCTGGCCTCGGAGGACACTTGCCCAGGGATTCTCACTGCCGTGGGTGTTGTCCTGCACTCCCAGGCTCCAGGTCCTCTGTAGAAGAGGGCATTGTCCCGGTAGGGCAAGAGTCCCGAGCCTCAGGTCTTCCTCTTCAGGGGCCAAAGCAGAGGCTGGCGAGTCAGGGTGCTTGCAAAGAGGAAGCCCAGGAGTTTCCCTGGGGTTACCAGAGGGCTGGGGGCCTAGTGACCAGGAAAGGGTGGTGCTCTGAGAGCCCAGGGTGCTTGGGTTAATCATCACTGGGGCTCAGATAAGGCCCTGCCAACTGGAAGCAGAGTCATTGTGACCAGAGGGGTTTGTGTGGCTGAAGAGGCAGGAGGAACAGTGTATCCACAGCGTGGGACCATGCCAGGCACAAAACGGTTTCAACATGTCATTGAGACCCCGGAGCCTGGCAAGTGGGAGGTGAGACCCCTTCTTCATGTTGGCTTTCTGTGCTGATTCCTAGAATTATTTTTCATCCAGTCTTCCCTCCCCGCTGGTTTCTGCTCACCTCTTCTTCCTTCCTGATGTTCTTTCCCTAATATGCCCAGAGCACCAAGTGCAGGCTGAGTTTCTGGTGTGGTATGTGTGTGCGTGTGTGTAAGTCCAAACTCTGTGCCTGCTGCCACTCCCACCTCCAGCTCAGCAGGCATGAATGAGGCTTTGGCTTCCTGCTCCATCCTTGTCCCCTCTTCCTTCTAGTTGTCTGGGTACGAGGCAGCTGTGCCAATCACGGAGAAGTCAAACCCACTGACCCAGGATCTAGACAAAGCAGATGCTGAGAACATTGTTCGACTGCTAGGGCAATGTGATGCTGAGATCTTCCAGGAGGAGGGGCAAGCCCTGTCCACATACCAGGTAACCAAGACCCAAGACCTGGACCCTGGAAATAAACATGCCAACCCCAACCCCACCTCTGCTCTCCCTCACCATGGCTCCTAATATCGGAAACCCTGAGACCCCCTCCCCCATTCATCGTCCTCCTTTTCTTGGCTTCTCATTCCTGCATATTCCCTACAGAGACTCTACAGCGAATCCATTCTGACCACCATGGTACAGGTGGCTGGGAAAGTTCAGGAAGTGCTGAAGGTACTAACCTTCCTTCTGTTCCCTGCCTAAACTTTTCTGTTTCCCTCTTTCTCTTTTTACTGTCTCTATTTCTCACTTTGATAGATCTCATTCTCCTTTCTCCCTTTTGGAGATCCTCCCTTTTGGATCCTTATTTTCATCTTATTAATAAATAATAATGATAACTTCTCTGCTTAATACTTTATAATTGACAATCTACTTTCACACCTATTACCCTCACAAAAGCCTGTGAAGTTGATATGACTTCTGTTTGTTTTCCTCAGATGAAAAAACAAAGATTTAGAAAGGATAATCACTGTAGCTTGCTCAAATACACTGAGCTAATAATTGCTGGATAATGCTGCTTTTATTATTTACTTTTATTTAGATGACAAAGCTGCTTTCAGTTCTTTCTGGGAGAAGTAAGGATTTGAACAAGTAGTGGAGCAAGACATGGGAGTCAAACTGGTTTCTCTAATCCAATGTTCTTTTTGCTACACTACATTGCATGTATTTGTTCAATTTTGTGATGAGAGGAGGGATAAGGAGTCTTTCCAATTCCTCTTGCATTACTGACAAAGAAAAGAATATTCTTCTCCCAACCTGAGCCAGGCCCTGGTAATATATGCCTCTTTCCTTCTTCAGGAGCCAGATGGGGGGCTGGTTGTGCTGAGTGGAGGGGGCACCTCTGGCCGGATGGCATTCCTCATGTCGGTGAGCACCCTGGTCTCCAGTTTTCTTCCCCCTCCACTTCTGGAGGTGACCCTCAGGACCATAAAGATCATCATAACTAAGCTCCCAGGTGGCCCCCTCACTAGACCTGGACTCCAAGCCTGGCTCTTTCTCTCTTCCAAAAGCTAGATGTCACCATGAAGTCCCATTTCTTCTGAGCCCATCTGAGTCCCGCCAGTATGTTGCCAATGTCTCTACATCCCATGCACCACCGACTAATCATCTCCAAGTAGCAGCTTTAAGTGCGAGATTCCATGTAGGACTGGGTTAAGCACTGGTCTAAGAGAATCATTATATAGTCTCTGCCCTCTAGGAGTTGAAAATCCAAGATAATTGTTTCTTCTCTGTCATTACCTCTTTACATCCTCTCCCTGCTTGACAGGTGTCCTTTAATCAGCTGATGAAAGGTCTGGGACAGAAACCTCTTTACACCTACCTCATTGCAGGTGGTGACAGGTAAGCCAAGTTAGCCTATGAATATTTTGTTTGACCTAAATAGTATTTCTTAGAAATTGAGTTGGAATACCTTTAGACAGAGATTGTGTCTGGCTTGTCTTAGTCCTCACCATTCCTTATTCCCTCACACTTGGCCCACTTCACATACTTATGTCGCCTGACTGGCTGTTGTAGGTATTTGAGTTTTTCAACTCTATGGAGTGTCTATCATGCACCAACAAACTGTGGGTGCTCATTCAATGATAGTTTTCCCTTTATGCGCATCTCTTAATGTAGCCTGCCCTAATACGCCATAGGCTTCTGCTTTCCAGCCACTGCCACTGACCTTGAGTCTGTCCTCTTAGGTCTGTGGTGGCCTCTAGGGAGGGGACAGAAGATAGTGCCTTGCACGGGATTGAGGAACTGAAGAAGGTCTGTGCTTTTCACTGACATTGACCAGAGACCTCTATCTGTTCCTTCTCATGGGGACATAAAAGCCCCAGCATTCAGCCAAAGCCTATTTCCTCCCTCCCCTGTTCCTGGCCCTGATATCCTCACACAGTAGATTTGTGCCCTGGAATCCTCCCAGTTACACTACCTTGTCCATCCTCCTCTCCTAGGTGGCTGCCGGGAAGAAGAGAGTGATTGTCATTGGCATTTCTGTGGGACTCTCTGTGAGTAAAAAGATGGGTTGAGTGGATCAATTTTAGAGAGAGGAAGTGAGTGGGAATGGAATAGCATGGAAGATAGATCAATGAGATCGGTGCTAGAAGGCAGGAAGTTTGCTCAAGGAATTTTGGTTTTAGTTTCACTAACTTGGATCAAGTTGTGTGAATGTGGGAAGATGGGGAAGGGATTCTATTTCAGAATAACTGTGTATCAATCAATCAACAACCAAGATAGGTGGACTAGTCCAGGGGTAAGCAAAATATACTGGCTGGCCAATGCAGCCAGCTGCCTGTTTTTAAAGTTTTTTGTTGTTGTTGTTTGTTTGTTTTTGAGATGGAGTCTCGCTCTGTCACCCAGGCTGGAGTGCAATGGCATGATTTCGGCTCACTGTAAACTCCACCTCCCAGGTTCAAGCGATTCTCCTGCCTCAGCCTCCCGAAAAGCTGGGATCACAAGCGCCCACCACAATGCCCGGCTAATTTTTGCATTTTTAGTAGAGACAGAGTTTCACCATGTTGGCCAGGCTGGTCTCGAACTCCTGACATCAGGTGCTCCACCTGCCTCGCTCAGCCTCTCAAAGTGCTGGGATTACAGGAGTGAGCCACTGCACCTGGCCCTAAAATAAAGGTTAGTTTTTGTTTTTGTTTTGGTTGTCGTTGTTGTTTTTGAGAGTCTCCCTCTGTCTCCCAGGCTGGAGTGCAGTGGCATAATCTTGGCTAACTGCAGCCTCCTCCTCCCAGGTTCAAGCGATTCTCCTGCCTCAGCCTCCCGAGTAACTGGAATTATAGGCACATGCCACCATGCCTGGCTGATTTTGTATTTTCAGTAGAGACAGGGTTTCTACTAAAAAAGAAAACTGGGGACCAGGATGCTCACCGACATGAGGAATGCCATGTTGGCCAGGCTAGTCTTGAACTCCTGACCTCAAGTGATCTGCCCACCTTGGCCTCCCAAATTGCTGGGATTACAGGCATGAGTCACCATGTCCAGCCCCTAAAATAAAGTTATTGGAACACAGCCATTTTTGTTTACATATGGTCTAAGGCCTCTTTTATGCTATAGCCATAGGGTTGAGTAGTTGGACAGAGACCATAGGGCCCACAAACCCTAAAGTATTTAGTATCTGGCCTTTTACAGAAAAATATGGCCCCTGGACTAGTCTCTTGCTACTTAAAATGTGGTGCCTGCACCAGCAACATCAGTGTCACCTGGGACTTGTTAGAAATGCAAAATCTCAGGCCCCACTCTGGACCTACTGAGCATTTTAACAAGATTTCCAGGTAGTTTGAGAAGCACTGAGCCAGATGACTCCAAGTTTCCTCTCAATTCTGCAGCTCTCTGGCTCTAAGAATTCACTTCGCAGAAACTAGATCCCACCAGTGTTATATATGGAAGGAAGCACACAAAGAGAAGAGGATATTGACTTCAAAGAGTTTACGATTTTAGTTCAGTAGTATTCCAACTTTACCGTGCAGAAGATTTCCTTGGAGAACTTGTTAAAAATGTAGTGCCCTTGAGGTACTTGTTAAAAACGTGCTCCCCCTTCAAATTTGGATCCAGTAGATTGTAACTGTACCTGGGAATCTGCATTTTGAACAAGCATTCTGAAGGGTTCTGATGCACTTGAGCCTTGGGCACCACTCAGAGTAATGACCCCCTCATCATGCCCTTCTCTCTCTTCACCATCAGGCTCCCTTTGTGGCAGGCCAGATGGACTGCTGCATGAACAACACAGCTGTCTTCTTGCCAGTCCTGGTTGGCTTCAATCCAGTGAGCATGGCCAGGTGAGCCTTCTGGAATGACTGGGCAGCCCTGGGGCAGGCTGGAGGGGAACATGTCAAAGTCTACAGTACAACCACAAGGGAGAGAACAGATAGTCTTGTTCACCAAATCTCAGAATATTAAAGTAAATATGGGGTGCCCCTAAGCTTATAAGGTTTTTTGTTTGTTGGTTGGTTGAATTATTCTCTTCTTGTTTCAGAAAGCATTAAAGGCAGCTTATAAAGGATGCATAAAATATAAGATAGCATACATTCAAAACAGGGATTGAAGAGGCAAGAGAAACAAGGAATAAAATGGAGGATAAAATGGGGTCAGGAAGATGCATACCATAAAGATTTGTGCTTTCATATGGGGGTGAGCCCCAAGCACCTTTTCAAAGTAGTAGTAGTGGGTGCCAGATGGCCTCCTACTCCTCTTTGTCCAGTTCCCTTATTTAGTGCCCATTCTCTCTCATCATTCCAGGCACCCCTTTCCTCCCCCGAGGATCCTCAGATCTCTCACTGTCTTCCCTTCCCTGAGAGCCCCTCATTACCAAATCACCTCCCTCTTATTCTCTATGTCAGTGGTCACTCTTATTTCAGAATAAATCAACATATTAAACCAGTAGTGCTCAGATGTGGTTCTGTGCATGAGCTGCCTGGGGAATGTTACAAAAAAATAAAGAAGATTCTTAGTTCCTTGTGTAAGAGGTCTGATTTTGTAGGTTTGGAGTAAGGCCCTGAAATATCTATTTTTTGAAAGCAACCCTGGAGATTCTGATGCACAGCCAGGTTTGGGGAACTCTGCTAAATAAACCATTGGAGTGGGCCACCTGACAAAGCTGAGGGCTTCCTGACACCAGAGGGATGCGGCAAAGGCTTGTTGATTATTTTAGAGCAGCTTTTTGTATTTAGCGGTGGTCTTGGGAAGGGGGACAAGTGGGTTTTTCCAAGGTGCTTTTTCACCTTCCAGATTCTAGGCGGTAGTATAATTTATGCGAAGGTGTAAATGAATCTGAAATACTCCTAACCCTGATCCTTTTCATGGAGGGCTCTCCTTCACCAAAAATGTATCTGCTGCAGTGGATGCTAATTTCAGGCCCTATGACTAAGTGAAATGAAGAATTTCAAACAACGTAGGCGTGGAGATCTTCCAGTTGTTCCTTAAATCAGTGGCTCCCAAACTTGGCTGATTTTCAGAGTCATCTGGGAAGCTTTTTTAAAATACAGATTTTTGGGCTCCACTCCAGAACTACTGAATCTGAATCTTAGGGTGGACTTGGTACCCAGAAATGGGTAGTTATTAAAAAACAAAACTCCCCAGATGATTTGGATGCCCAGCTGTGTTTAGGAATCTCGACGTTAAACCATACGATATGAACCCTCTCTGCTTTAGTCTCCTCTTTCTTAGGACTCTAGGAAGTTTCAGAAATAGTTTGAGGAAGAATGACAGGAGACATTTTATACAACGGGCATGAAATATGTGAAACTTGTCTGCCCTAGAAGTAATACAGAAGAAAAAAAATACAAAAATAGTTCAAGAAGGGAGGGAACCTTTGCAGGATGGGATGATAAGGTGAAATTAGGGGTGCCATGTACAGAAGTAACTAACTCTTTGAGGTCCTGCCACAGTGGGCGATTCACAAATTATCCCCTAGCAAAGCCATTAGAAATCAACTAAAGAAGATCGTCATTCTTTGAGATTCCGTGATTTGTAACTAAGCAGATAACAAGTCTGTAGCTCTCTTGCCTCATGAACACATTTATTTGTTCCCAATTAATTTACTCAAGGAATGTTCAACAACTGTGAGGTGCTACCTTGAAGCTTGGTTCCCTCACTGTTATCCCTCCCTCTGGTACTGAGGGTTCACTCTTTGGAGGGATTTCCAGAATGTATTCCCACAAATGGGAAGGGCTTCTGATGGACCCTAAGATGGAAAATAAGGTGACAATTTTGACATTTGAATAACAGGCCTTCCCTAAAGGACCTGCAGAGAGTGACATTAGTATAGCCATGGCATTGGGGCTTATGCAAGGAGCAGGACACAAGATAGTTTGGGTCTCAGGCTGGGACTTTAAACTTGAGTGTTGGCTTTGCTCTGGGCTTGAGGTGCTGCATGTTTTATTAACCCCTGTCCTTGGGGTTCGGGGACACAGTGCCTCTAAAAGTTCCAAAGCATATGTCTGTATGAAGTTGTTGACCTCTGACCTCAATCCCAATGCAGTCTTTGATCATGACTCCCAGCTGAGGCCCTTCTTTGAGATCCTCATAGACAATCTCCCCACCTTGTGTCTCTCTGGACCTCAGAAATGACCCCATTGAAGACTGGAGTTCAACATTCCGACAAGTAGCAGAGCGGATGCAGAAAATGCAGGAGAAACAGAAAGCTTTTGTGCTCAATCCTGCCATCGGGGTAGGGCCTCTCCTTTTTCTATGTTCTCCACCCCTCCAACACCTGGGAACTGCTTGCCACTTCCTTGGGGCCTCTGATTTTAGGTTCTATTATATCTTGTTTAAATTCCTGAGGTATTGTGAGTCAGCTAAAATGTTATAAACCAAATCCTATTTTCCCATTTACATTTTCACCTTAAGATATTTCGTCTTCATTCCAACCCTCTCTCTCAAATTGGTAAGCCTTAAACACTTCAGCGGTCTGGGACAGTTTCTATTTAAAGAAGCTCTTTGCCATCTATGTATAGAGAGCGTTGAATAGCCATTGTTATGTTTCAGTCTGTCTCTCTCACATATTTACATTTTAAATATGGGCTTTAAAAAATGGGGTGCAGTTTTGTTTCATTCTTCTGCCTTTCTAAATCCTCTCCAAAATTGGGTGGCCCTTCTTAGGTTGAAAGCTGTTTTCTCTTGTTCCTTTTTTTCTCATCTGGATTGCAGATACATTTCACTAGCACCATTTCTCCTTACTTGGGCCTTACGAGGGCCTTAGCCAAATTCCAGCCCGTGCCTCCCTCTACCAGTGGTGGGCACACCATCTGCGACATTCTCCTCCATCTTCCTTTTGTGAGATAAGAAGGTAGAATTCCATATGACATAAGAATTCCACGGCTTTCACCTCCTAAATGCTCATCTGTCTTTCCTCCTCCCTGCAAATGTTGACTTTCAATGGCTTTCAATCTTCTTTTCTCAGTCACTACTTTTTTTTTTTTTTTTGAGACGAAATCTTGCTCTTGTCACCCAGGCTGGAATGCAATGGCCTGATCTTGGCTCACTGCAACCTCTGCTCCCCTAGTTCAAGCGATTTTCCTGCCTCAGTCTGCGGAGTAGCTGGGATTACAGGTGCCTGCCACCACATCTGGCTAATTTTTGTATTTTTAATAGACAGCCTGTTGGCCAGGCTGGTCTCGAACTCCTGACCTCAGGTGATCCGCCCGCCTCGGCCTCCCAAAGTGCTGGGATTACAGGCGTGAGCCACCGCACCCAGCCTCAGTCACTACTGTTATCATTCTGTTTGCTGTAGCCTCTTTGTCTGTCTGGTGTGCTGTGTGCCACATCTGGACTGCTGCAATCACTTCTTCATTGGTCTGTCCAAAGCATATGACATGTGGTATTTGGATTGATAAACTACCACAGAAAATGGTGGAAGTGGGGGAGAAATTTCTTGGAAAGAAACACACTCTCTGGTCTGGGTGTAGTGGCTCACGCCTGTAATCCCAGCATTTGGGAGGCCAAGGCGGGCAGATGACTTGAGGTCAGGAGTTCAAGACCAGCTTGGCTAACATGGTGAAACCACGTCTCTACCAAAAATACAAAAATTAGCCGGGCGTGGTGGCAGGTGCCTGTAATCCCAGCTACTTGGGAGGCTGAGGCAGGAGAATCGCTTGAATTTGGGAGGTAGAGGTTGCAGTGATCCAAGATCGTGCCACTGCACTCCAGCCTGGGTGGCAGAGTGAGACTCCATCTCAAAAAAAAAAAAAAAAAAAAAAGCACTTTGGGAGGCCGAGGTGGGCGAATCACGAGGTCAGGAGATCGAGACCATCCTGGCTAACACGGTGAAACCCCATCTCTACTAAAGATACAAAAAATTAGCCGGGCATGGTGGCGGGCGCCTGTAGTCCCAGCTATTTGGGAGGCTGAGGCAGGAGAATGGCGTGAACCCAGGAGGCAGAGCTTGCAGTGAGCCGAGATCCTGCCACTGCACTCCAGCCTGGGTGACAGGGTGACAGAGCAAGACTCCATCTCAAAAAAAAAAAAAAAAGAAAAAAAAAGAAAACAAAGAAAAGAAAAGCACTCTGAAAAACCCTTGACCCAGCTGACAAGAGACCCAATCACTCTGACTTCCTCTCCAGAAAGTCCTGAGTATACCTAGGAGTGATCAGAGGAGGCCCTTCCCCTCTTTCTAATCTTCCTCTCGGTCAAGCCCACCCCAGCACCCTTCCTCACAAGCACACTGGGGGCCACTGGTACTATCACATGCATGCCCGGGGGTTACTAACAAGTGGTCTACGGGGTCTTCATCCTCTCCCAATTCCTCTTGGGTGTCTTCACCTCTTCAGCCCGAGGGTCTCAGCGGCTCCTCCCGGATGAAAGGTGGAAGTGCCACCAAGATTCTGCTGGAAACCCTGTTATTAGCAGCCCATAAGACTGTGGACCAGGGCATTGCAGCATCTCAAAGGTAGGGAGGATCTGGATAAGAGAGAGCTCAGAGTCAGGCGAGTGTGAGATGGTGTGGATGGAGATTGGCAGGTCTAGATCCAAGGACTGGGCTGGTGGCAGTAAGACTGCAGCCCACCACGCCTCCCCTGGGAAGGGAGCTGGGTAGTACATGCTGTTGCTCCCACCTCATAGTTGCAGAGTCCGAATTGTTTCCAGTGGATCCTGGATTCCTCAGGCCCAGACCTAATCCCTGAGCCTGCCTGGGGCCTCCAAAGCTAGCCTGGCTCCCTAGGGTCCTTTGATTTGGGGGTGGTCCAGGCCATGCAGGTAGAGCTTATCCTACTCTGGACCTGCCTCCCTCTCCAGGGTCTCTAGCCTCACTCCTAGGCTGCTCATGCCCCTTCCCAGTGGCTCTCAGATCCTGCTCCTCCTGGTGCTTTCCTGCTGCACTCGTCCCTCTTTCTGCTCTTTTGTTTTCTGCCCATTGAAGAAGCCCTTGCTGCCCCTTCGGAACGCAGTCTGGGCCTACTCTCTGCACCTCTCCAGGGACCAGCAGAATTTAGTTCTAAGGGAGCTGTGCCTTCACCTCCCCGCTCAGGGAGGCACCTAAGCTTTCTGAGGGGGAATTGGGCCCTTCTTGAGAGCTGGTGGCTTTTCTCCCAGATGCCTCCTGGAAATCTTGCGGACATTTGAGCGAGCTCATCAGGTGACCTACAGCCAAAGCCCCAAGATTGCCACCCTGATGAAGAGTGTCAGCACCAGGTGTGTGGATATGTGTTTAGAGGTGAGGATGTGGCCCGGATGGAGAATACTGAGAGCAGGGAGACTCTGTGAGACATGTTAACACGGTATGGGCGATAGGATTGCATGTTGAAGGGTCATGGTTTGTTGACTCCTGTGTTCTTCTGTGGACATCTCTGGCCTCTTTGCACGGTGATCTCTCATGTCCTGACCTCTGACCCATTCTCAGTCTGGAGAAGAAAGGCCACGTGTACCTGGTTGGCTGGCAGACCCTGGGCATCATTGCCATCATGGATGGAGTAGAGTGCATCCACACCTTTGGTGCTGGTGGGACCCCAGTCCAGATGTTCTTCCTGCTTCCTCCTGATCCCAACCATTCGGGCTGCTCTCCAAACACTGTCCTACTCCCAACCCATGGGTGTTCCTCAGTGTCCCACCTTCCCTATCTAAATAGGCACTTCAGTCAAATTCTTCTTCCTTAGAACCCCAACTCAGTCCTTGATCCCTTCTCAGCTCCCACCCCTGTGCTTAACTATGGCCTCCCACAAGGGCTACTCCTCACTCTACGCCCCACTTGCCACTTTTCCTCCCAGTCCCATTTTCTCCCCCTGAAGCCTAGAACCTTCCTTTCCTATATAGCCAATCACTCCTCTCTCCTTGTTCTTAAACTTCCCAGATTTCCGAGATGTCCGTGGCTTTCTCATTGGTGATCACAGTGACATGTTTAACCAGAAGGCTGAGCTCACCAACCAGGTCGGAGAAGAACAGGACTTGGGGAAGCTGGGGAGACCACTAGTGTGCTGAGGGTGGAAGAAAAGGGGAAGGCGGAGCTAGGTGGGAAGTTCATTGGAATAGACGGTCCAGAGAAGAGAATATGGGTCAGAAGTCATGAGGCTTTGGCTTAGCATGGGCAGTGTGGAAAGCTCTAGATCCAGTCCCCAAACTTGGCCCTAGTCCACTGACTTGTTACATAATCTTGGGCAAAACACTGTACCTTTTGAACTTCAGCTCTTTCACCTGTGCACAAAAGTGTTAGATCTCCTCCACGGCCCCCTTTAGTCCTCAAGTCTGTGCTTTAGAGTGTTTTCATGGGAGGGACCCTCCCATCTTCTTCTGCCCCAGGGTCCCCAGTTCACCTTCTCCCAGGAGGACTTCCTGACTTCCATCCTTCCCTCTCTCACGGAAATCGATACTGTGGTCTTCATTTTCACCCTGGATGGTGAGAGGGAAGATGGGAGTGGTGAGGGGTGGGGAGGGGGAAATAGAATGGTTCAGAGGAGCTGTTGTTTTTCTGGGTCTTAGGGTACCTGCTCAGAGGGAGGGACGGGGTGAATATCCTGACTGGACCCCAGCCAGGGGAGCAGGAGGAACAGCTGCACAGCCAGCCTTTCGACTCTGATGCCCTCCCCTTCTCCTAGACAACCTCACGGAGGTGCAGACTATAGTGGAGCAGGTGAAAGAGAAGACCAACCACATCCAGGCCCTGGCACACAGCACCGTGGGTCAGACCTTGCTGGTGAGAGTCCAGCCGTGACAAAGGGACCCAGGTGGCAGTTGCAGCCAGGCCTTCCTGGAGATGCCTCTCCTGCTCCTCTTTCTCTCTCTCCAGATCCCTCTGAAGAAGCTCTTTCCCTCCATCATCAGCATCACATGGCCACTGCTTTTCTTTGAATATGAAGGGAACTTCATCCAGGTATGGGGAATGAGAAGGTCCTATCTGCAGTAAGGGGCTCAGAGGGTGAGGGATTCCAAGAATCAAAAAACCCAAGGCTGTAGGGCAGAAAGTTTGGAGACCTCTCTGACCCTCACAAAGCCAGCTGGGCAAGGTCATGGGTTACCAGGTTACTAGTCAGAATTCCCAAGGCAATGAACTACTGGGCTCAGCTGTCTCTAGGAATATGCAAAAAGTTGCGGGATAGGCCTCCAGTCACCTGACAGATGTTCATTTGTCCTTTGGGACAGGTTAATTATTTTTACTTTGAGACAGAGTCTCACTCTGTCGCCCAGGCTGGAGTGCAGTGGTGCAATCTTGGCTCACTGCAACCTCTGCCTCTTGGGTTCAAGTGATTCTCGTGCCTCAAGTAGCTGGGACTACAGGTGTGCACCACCATGCCCGGCTACTGTTTGTATTTTTAGTAGAGATAGGGTTTCCTCATGTTGGCCAGGCTGGTCTCGAACTCCTGACCTCAAGTGATCTGCCTGCCTCGACCTCCCAAAGTACTGGGATTACAGGTGTAAGCCGCTGCGCCTGGCTGGGACAGGTTAATTCTTGATACCAAAGTCATCATCATTATCCAAAAGCTTTTACCACACCTTTTTTTTTTTTGCAAGTTTACTATGCTGAATTCATTGCAGATAACTTTATGTGCATATAGTCCCTGCTTGCCAATGAATTATAATCCAGCACAAATACTGATAATAATTACAGAAATAATAATCAGTGTGTGTGCTCTTTGCAATTTAGAGCTTTGTGTGGGCATTGGGAGCTCTGGATGCCGGTCTAGCTCTACAGTGTGGCCCAAGAAAGCAAGCAATTTTACATCTCTGGTTCTCAGTTTTCTCATACACCACCTGCCCACCCTCCATGGGCAGAATCAGGGCCCTGAAGGGTTGCTCTGGAGAGATGTGGTCTCTTATTCGTTATTCAAACCATGTCTGTCAGAAGTTTCCTGGCTTGACCAGACACAGCTGAAACACTGACTTACCTGGACTCAGAACTCGTATAGAAGCGGAAGTTTCTCTGCCCCTGAACAGGGAATCCACTCTCCTTCCAATGTCTTTCATTCTTTTTATTTTTTAAAGACAAAGTCTCACTCTGTGGCCCAGACTAAAGTGCAGTGGTGCCATCTCAGCTCACTGCAACCTCCGCCTCCCCTGCTCAACTGATCCTCCCACCTCAGCTTCTCAAGTAGGTAGGACCACAGGCACTCACCACCATGACTGGCTAATTTTTGTATTTTTTTTGTAGAGATCGGGTTTCTCCACATTGCCCAGGCTGTTTGCCAACTCCTAGACTCAAGTGATCCACCCGCCTTAGCCTCCCAAAGTGCTGAGATTGCAGGCGTGAGCCACTACGCCTAGCCAAAACACTGTATTTTTAAAGAAAAATGTTCATTTTAACAGCCATACATTTTTTATAGATACATTTTTTATAGTAAAGACGTTACAAATTACAGAAATGCAAAAAAGAAAAAATCACTCCAAATCTACCATCTTCAAAAAAAAAAAAAAAACACTCTAACAAATTTTGGAGAATGTCCTTTTAAATTTCTATTATATGCATATATAAATATATTTGTACAAAAGTAAGACCATACTTGATATGCTGTTTTAAAGTTGCTTTATGAACATCTTTCTGTACTAATAGATCACCATCATTTTCAAAAATTATTATTATTATTATTTATTTTTATCATGCCGGGACATGTTCTCATCTGATAGATCACTACTATCATTTTTTTTTTTTTTAAGATGGAGTCTCGCTCTGTCACCCAGACTGGAGTGCAGTGGCGCGATCTCCGCTCACTGCAAGCTCTGTCTCCCAGGTTCACGCCATTCTCCTGCCTCAGCCTCCTGAGCAGCTGGGACTACAGGTGCCCGCCACCACGCCTGGCTAATTTTTTGTATTTTTTAGTAGAGACGGGGTTTCACCGTGTTAGCCAGGATGGTCTCGATCTTCTGAACTTGTGATCCACCCGCCTCAGCCTCCCAAAGTGCTGCGATTACAGGCGTGAGCCACCACGCCCGGCCACTACTATCATTTTTAGTGTCAATGTAATATTCCACTGTATAGATGTACCATAAATTGTTTAACTCCGATTATCAGACACAGAGACAACTTCAATATTATGGTTTTTATTAAAGTGCTGCACTGAACATCCTTATAAACACATCTTTTAGGCATTTGACTTGTTTCACCAGGATAAACCCCAAAAGCGAAATCACTGGGTCAAAGGGGATGTAAAATTTTGAAGCTTTTTGATACATACAGCCAAACTGCCCTCCAAAGAGGTTTATAAATAAAGCGTGAAGTTGCTTGTTCCCTTACACCCTTATACATACTGGATAGCATCCTTATAAAAAAATCTTTGCTAATCAGTAAAGCAACAAAAGGGCATTTTAGTGTTATTTTAATTTATATTTCTTTAATTATTGTGTAGGTGGACTACTTAAAAATATATATTGGCCATTTGATACTTTTTTTTTGTCTTTCATGTACTGCTTCTTGTCTTTTGGGTCTATTTACCCATTCTTTCTTTGGGGGGTATTTTTTTTTCTTATTTGTAAGAAGGGGTGTGTATAGCAAAAACAGTAGCCCTTTTTTTCTTTTCTATATTTTTCCCAGCTTAATATTTTCTTTTGTTTTTACGTTTTTTATGTAGAGACATTTTATTTAAAATGTTACATAGTCAAATCTATCAATCTTTTCCTTTGTGTTTTTTGCCTTTTGGTTGATGTTGGTTTTATTTATTTGTTTATTTATTTGTGAGACAGAGTCTCGCTCTGTGGCCCAGGCTGGAGTACAGTGGTGTGATCTTGGCTCATTGCAACCTCTGCCTCCCGGGTTCGAGCGATTCTCCTGCCTCAGCCTCCTGAGTAGCTGGGATTACAGGCACACGCCTCTATGCCCTGCTACTTTTTTCATTTTTTGTAGAGACAGGGTTTCACCATGTTGGCCGGGCTGGTCTCGAACTTCGGACCTCAGGTAATACACCTGCCTTGGCCTCTCGAAGTGCTGGGATTACAGGAGTGAGCCACTGCACTCAGCCTGGTTTTATCTTTCTAAATGAATTGGAATTGTTTGAAATAAAGAGGCTTTGTTTGGGCTGGTCAATCTTTAGCTATAGAAATATTTTTGACAGACGCCGTGGCTCACGCCTGTAATCCCAGCACTTTGGGATGCCAAGGCGGGCAGGTCACCTGAGGTCAAGAGTTCGAGACCACCCTGGCCAACATGGTGAAACCCTGTCTCTACTAAAAATACAAAAAAATTACCTGAGCATGGTAGTGGGTGCCTGTAATCCCAGCTAGTCGGGAGGCTGAGGCAGGAGAAGCCGAGGTTGCAGTAAGCTGAGAACGCACCATTGCACTCCAGCCAGGGCAACAAGAGTGAAACTCTGTCTCAAAAAAAAATAATAATAAAAATTAAAAATAAAAAAAAGAAATATTTTCTATGTAAACTGTTCCTACACTTTTATTTTGTTTTGTTTTGTTTTCTTTTTTGCCTTCCGAAGTGACAGTGGATACACTTTTATTTTGATAAAAATCAAACCTACAGAAAAATACGAAAATGGTGCAAGGAACACCCATATACTTTTCCCTAGATTCATCAATTATTAACATTTTGCCATATTTGCTTCATCTCTTTCTTTTCCCCTGAATTATATGAAAGATAATTGGAGCCAGGTACGGTGGCTCATGCCTGTAATCCCAGCACTTTGGGAGGCCAAGGCAGGCAGATCACAAGGTCAGGAGTTCGAGACCAGCCTGATCAACATGGTGAAACCTGATCTCTACTAAAAATACAAAAATTAGCCAGGCGTGGTGGCTTGGACCTGTAATCACAACTACTCAGGAGGCTGAGGCAGAAGAATCGCTTGAACCTGGGAGGCAGAGGTTGCAGTGAGCTGAGATCATACCACTGCACTGCAGCCTGGGCGACACAAGACTCCATCTCAAAAAAAAAAAAAAAAAAAAAGCCGGGCGTGGTGGCTCACGCCTACAATCCCAGTACTTTGGGAGGCTGAGGTGGGTGGATCACAAGGTCAAGAGTTCAAGACCAGCCTGGCCAACATGGTGAAACCCATCTCTACTAAAAATACAAAAATTAGCCGGGCATGGTGGCACATGCTCATAGTCCCAGCTACTCGGGAGGCTGAGGCAGGAGGATCACTTGAACCTGGGAGGTGGAGGTTGCAGTGAACCGAGATCATGCCACTGCACTCCAGCCTGGGTGACAGAGTGAGACTCCATCTCAAAAAAAAAAAAAAAAGAAGATAATTGGAGATGCCTGATATGTTATACTAATTACTTTGGTATGTGTCCTCTAAGAACAAGGGCATTCACCTACATAATTACAATATACTTTTCCACTCAGGAAAATGACAATTAATATACTATTATCTATTATCTAGACCATATTCAAATTTCCCCAAATATTCCTGTATTGTTTTTATTTCCCAGATCCAGGATCCAATCAAGGATAATGCACTGCATTCAGTTATCAGGTCTTTTGGGTTTTCCTTTACTCCAGATGAGTTTCTCAGTTGTTCTTTATCTCTTTGATGACATTGATATCTTAGAAGTAAGTCCAGGTCAGTTGTTTTCCAGAATATGCCTCACTTTGGATTTGCCTGATTGTTTCGTCATGATATTCAGGTTAAATTTTTTGGCAGGAGTACTGCATAGGGGAAGTTGTGCCCTTATCAGTGTATCACATCGGGAGGTACCTGATGTCAGTTTGCCCCTTTATTGGTGATGCTACATTCCATCGTTTAGCTAGGATGGTGTCTGTTAGATTTCTCTGTATCCTATTCCTCAGCAATCTTTCACCCAATGGTTTTAGCATCCACTGATGATTCTTGGTTGAATTAATTATTACTATGGTAGTTTTTCAATGGTGATTTTCTATTTCTATCCCTTCCATCTATATTCAGTAGTTGGCATTCTTCTGTAAAGAAAATCTCTCTCATCCAGGTGCGGTGGCTCACATCTGTAATCCCAGCACTTTGGGAGGCTGAGGCAGGTGGATCACTTGAGGCCAGCAGTTTGAGACCAGCCTGGCCAGCATAGCAAAACCCCATCTCTACTAAAATACAAAAATTAGCCGGGTGTGGTGGTGTGCACCTGTAGTCCCAGATACTCAGGAGGCTGAGTCGGAGAATTGTTTGAACCAGGAGGTAGAGGTTGCAGTGAGCTGAGATCGTGCCATTGCACTCCAGCCTGGGTGATAGAGCGAGACTCCGTCACAAAAAAAAAAAAAAGAAAGAAAGAAAATCTTTTTCTTCTCTCCCCGTCCTATCTACCCTATCTATCTTTGTTTTTTTAGTGTCAATATGGACTCATGAATTTTTTGTTGTTGTTAAATGTGTTTTAATCCATTCTTATTATTCATTATTTATTTTAATGCTCAAAATGAGAGTTCATTCAAGCTGGTTCCTGTGTCCTTGTGACATATCCACATCAGTATTTGAACACTCTTTGTTGTGTTTCTTTTTGTAAAATAATAATAACCTTCTTATGCAAAAGGTAGCATCTTTTTTATATCTTGCATTTTTTGCTTAAGATATTCTGAAAATCACTGCAGTGCAGTTTATAGATCTCTTCCTCATTATTACTTATTATTTGCATTTGTGTGTGTGTGTGTGTGTGTGTGTGTGTGTGTGTGTGTAACAATAGTTTGCCCTGTCAATCTCCTATGCAGGAACACAAAACCACTGACCCAGGCTCACCTATACTTTCCCTGATCCAGCCCTGGAGTCAGTCATTTTTCTGAGGAGACCTGATCTTGTTAGTGGGTTCTAGTATTTAGAAACCCAAATGCTAGGTATGTTCACTGCTACTGGTGTGTCTTTGCCTCTAAGCCCTATCAGTAGAAAGAATAAGGGTGTGTGTATGTGTGTGTTTATGTATATATACATGCATACATACATATACATATGTATGTTTGTTTACATACAGATGAATGTGTCTGCGTATATATATATATACACACACATACATCTATATATACATCTATATAAATACTGTATATATATTCCCACTCTTCTTCCTCTTTCCCTTAGTGATAATGTTGATTTCCAACATCATCAATATATCTGCCGTCTCATTCCATTTCCATTCATGCCTGTAGGGAATTAGTTTAATTAGTTACTGGCTTATCCTCCTATGTTTCTTTTTGGAGAAAAGTGTGTGTGTACATATAAGTTTGCACTTCCTATACAAAAGGCAGTCTACTATACTCTTTTGTGCTTTAAGAAGATATTCTGAAAATCACTCCATATTGGATCATAGAGCTCTTCCTCATTAATTTTTACCTTTGTGTGTTTCCACATATGTAATAGTTTACTCAGGCAATCTCCTATGTAGGACATATAGGTTTCCCATATTTTGCTATGATCAATCATGATGTAATGAATGTACATGTATTTTTATAATGTCAGAAGAGTATCTTTGGGATAAATTCCTAGAAGTATTAGAGCTGGGTCAAACGGTACATACATATGCCATTTTGTTAGATATTGCAAAATTTCCTTCCATAGGGTTTACTATTTTGCTTTCCATACCAGCAATATACAAGAATGCTGCTCTCCTACAGCCTCTTGGAGAGTTTTGTGAAGTTTTTGGATTTTGTCAACCTGATAGATTAGAAATGCCACTTCTGTGTAGTTTTCATTTATTTATTATTATTTTATTACTATTATTATTATTGTTTTTTGAGATGGAGTCTTGCTCTGTCACCCAGGCTGGAGTGCAGTGATGTGATCTCAGCTCACTGCAACCTCTGCCTCCCAGGTTCAAGCAATTCTTCTGCCTCAGCCTCCCAAGTAGCTGGGATTACAGGTGCCCAGCACCATGCACAGTTAATTTTTGCATTTATAGTGGAGACAGGGTTTCACCATGTTGGCCAGGCTGGTCTCGAACTCCTGACCTCAGGTGATCTGCCCATGTCGGCCTCCCAAAGTGCTGATTACAGGCGTGAGCCACCACGCCCAGCCTTATTTTATTATTTTTTTGAGACAGGGTCTCATTCTGTCACCTAGGCTGGAGTGCTGTGGTGTGATCATGGCTCACTGCAGCCTCAACTTCCTGGGCTCTGGTGATCATCCCACCTCAGCCTCCCGAGTGACTGGGACTACAGGCGCTTGCCACCATGCCTAGCTAATTTTGTTTCACCATGTTGGCCAGGGGTGTCACCATGTTGGCCAGGCTGGTCTTAAACTCCTGACCTCAAGTGATCCACTCGCCTCTGCCTCCCAAAGCACTGGGATTATAGGCGTGGTCCAGAAAGCTTTTTCTAACATCTAAATTGTAAAGGAATTCCATCCATGTTTTCTGCTAGTAGAGATGGTTTCTTTTTTTCTTTTTTAAACACTTAGATCTTTAATTTATTGGGAGTTTATTCTTGTGTATGGGGTAAGGCATGAATCCAATTATTTATTTTTCCAAGTGATTATCCAATTGTTCGTATATATATATATATATATATTTTTTTTTTTTTTTTGAGACAGAATCTCACTCTGTCACCCACGCTGGTGTGCAGTGATGTGATCAGATTTCACTGCAACCTCAAACTCCTGGGCTGAAGCAATCATCCCACCTCAGCCTCCCAAGTAGCTGGGACTACAGGCACATGCCACCATGCCTGGCTAATTAAACAAAATTTTTTTTTTTTTTTTTGTAGAGACAGGTTCTTGCTATGTTGCACACGCTGGTCTCAAATCCCTGGCCTCAAGCAATCCTCCTGTCCCAGCCTCCCAAAGAGCTGGGGTTACTGGGGTGAGCCACCGTGCCTGGCTCCAATATAATTTTTTTAAGTTCATCTTTTCCTGAGTGATTTAGGATGCTATCTGTGTCACATACTCAATTTCTATGTGCATTGGTCTATTTATGGACTTTCTATTCTGTTCCACTGGTTTGTCTATTGATGTGCTGGTACCATATGTTTTAATTATGGAGGCGTTATGGTATGTTTGGTATCCAATAGGGTTTGTTCTTCATTCTTGTTTTTTTTTTTTTTTTTTTTTTTTTGAGATGGAGTCTCATTCTGTTGCCCAAGTTGGAGTTCAATGGTATGATCTCGGCTCACTGCAACCTCCGCCCCCCAGGTTCAAGTGATTCTCTTGCCTCAGCCTCCCAAGTAGCTGGGATTACAGGCACGCGCCACTACACCAGGCAAATTTTCTTTTGTATTTTTAGTAGAGATCAGGTTTCACCCTGTTGGCCAGGCTGGTCTCAAACTCCTGACTTCAAGTGATCCACTCACCTCAGCCTCCCAAAGTGCTGGGATTATAGGCGTGAGCCACTGTGCCCAGCCTATTCTTCTTTTTAAGGATTTTCCTGGCTATATCCAGGCCGATTTTTCCATGTGTACTTTAAAATGAATGTGTCGCACTCCAAATTTTGTAAAATTTAAAATATTTTTGTGTTAATGGTGTTAATGTTAATGGTATCAATGGTTAGTGGTATAACCTAGATCTAATTGACCTCTCTCCCAAAGTGCAGTCTGACACGCACCCTATAGCATCAGTACTGCATACTTACTGGCCAGTTTCATGCTGAAATTTCATGCTGTTCTTATATTTAGTGTCGTGGACATTCACTTATTAAAATGTTTTCAATATACCCTCTTCCAGGGTTTTGTGTGAACAGCTATTTCTAGAGTTCCAGAATAAAGAGGTAAAAGTAGCAGTAGCCTGTTTCCTCAGCCTGGCTAGGACCACGTGTATTAGTACCTTTTTTTTTTTTTTTTTTAATATGGAGTCTCATTCTGTCGCCAGGCTGGAGTGCAGTGGCGTGATCTAGGCTCACTGCAACCTCTGCCTCCTGGGTTCAAGTGATTCTCCTGCCTCAGCCTCCTAAGTAGCTCTGACTTACAGGTGCTTGCTACCATGCCTGGCTAATTTTTGTATTTTTAGTAGAGACGGGGTTTCACCATGTTAGCCAGGATGGTCTCAATCTCCTGACCTCATGATCCGCCCACCTTGGCCAGTACATTTTCATACTGCTCTAAAGAACTGCCCGAGACTGGGTGATTTATAAAGGAAAGAGGTTTAATTGACCCACAGTTCAGCATGGCTGGGGAGGCCTCAGGAAACTTACAATCATGGTGGAAGGTGAAGGGGAAGTAAGGCATCTTCTTCCCAAGGTGGCAGAAAGGAGAAGTGCCAAGTGAAGGGGGAACAGCCCCCTTATAAAACCATCAGATCTCATGAGAACTCACTATCCCAAGAACAGCATGGGGGAACGCCCCCTGCCCCCCATGATTCAATTACCTCCACCTGGTCTCTCTCTTGACACATGGGGATTATGGGGATTACAATTCAAGATGAGATTTGGGTGAGGACACAAAGCCTAACCATATCACCAGTTAATTAATCCCCTCAACACCTTTACTGGGCCCCAGTTTCCCTGCTAATGTGCCAATAGGTGTTATAAGTGCCCCAAGGTGGACAAGATATAAGGGCCAAAAACAAGGGGCAGTTTTATACTCGCGATACCACATGTTTGAACAATTTTTTAGTTTTCAACATGCCTTTACATAGGTTCTCTCATTCATCCAGGAGATATTTGTGGCAAAGTAGGAAATGCCCTCATCATTGAATCAGAAGACCGGGATTTAGGTCCTCATTCTCCATCTCGTTATCATATGAGCTTCTCCAAGTTAATTTACTTCTGACCTCTAGTTTCCTCATATGTAGAAATGAGGATAGGTAAACTTATTCTGTAGGGCTGTTAGAAAAATTAAATAGAATTCATTTTTCAACAAACATTTTTTTTTCCCCTGAGACATAGTCTCACTCTGTTGCCCAGGCTGGAGTGCAGTGGCACAATCTAGGCTCACTGCAACCTCCACCTCCCGGGTTCAAGTGATTCTTGTGCCTCAGCCCCCCGAGTAGCTGGGATTACAGGTGTATGCCACCACTCCTAGCTAATTTTTGTGTATTTAGTAGAGACAGCATTTCATCATGTTGGCTAGGCTTGTTGAGAACTCCTGACCTCAGGTGATCCCCCAACCTTGGCCTCCCAAAGTGGTGGGATTACAGGAGTGAGCCACTGTGCCCGGCCTCAACAAATGTATTGATCAGCAAATATGTGTCAGTCATGGTCTAAAAAACTGGGGCCCTGGAGCAGAATAAGTCACCATCTCTGCCCTTTCAAGAAGCCTGTGGTTTAGTGGAATGAATCCCACTCCTCCTGTCTGATACCCGGGGAGAAAAAGGAACAATTCAGCAGGATCAAAATTCTAATATGGAAGGACTCAGAGAACATGTCTGTCTACCTAGGGGTCAAAAACACAAATGGGTGAAGCTACCAGGTTTGCCTGAGACAATCCTGGTTTACATCTATTGCCCTAACATTTAAACGCTGGGCTGCTCAAACAAATCATGTTTGCATTTTGGTCCCTGGTTCTTGACAGTTGGTTTCCTGTCTGATAACAGGGCCCTGTTCACTCTGCTGCTTTTCTGTCCTCTAATTTTTGACACCCCCATGTGTCTGCCCTTTTCAGAAGTTCCAGCGTGAGCTAAGCACCAAATGGGTGCTGAATACAGTGAGTACAGGTGCTCATGTGCTTCTTGGTAAGATCCTACAAAACCACATGTTGGACCTTCGGATTAGCAACTCCAAGCTCTTCTGGCGGGCGCTGGCCATGCTGCAGGTAGGGATATGATGGGGCAGGGTTGGGTGGGACCTGGCCTCAATGCTTAGGCTGCCAGAGGAGGGCATTTTGTAGAGATATGGAAATGTGCAAGGGTACAGGCTGCCTTTTCTGTGTGCTTCTGCTCCTCCTATTAGGTGCATCTTCCCCTTAAGGAGTGTGTGTGCACACATGGGTGTGTTTGTGAAATTGTAATTATTAGGCAAGACTCTTTCAGTTACAAACGTGATGGAAAACGAGTTTATACTGGTTTAAGCTAAACAAAGAAAATGGTGGCTGATATAACTGAACAATCTTAGGGCAGCTGAATCTAATGTGTTCCAGAACTTTCCACCCTTAACTCTGTTTTCCCCTGTGTTGCTCTCATTCTTTTTTTTTTTTTGAGATGGGGTCTTGCTCTATCGCCCAGGCTGGAGTATAGCGGTGCTATTTCAGCTCAGTGCAACCTCCGCCTCTGAGGTTCCATTGATTCTCCTGCCTCAGCCTCCCGAGTAGCTGGGATTACAGGCACCCCCCACCATGCCCAGCTAATTTTATATTTTTTAGCAGAGACAGGGTTTTGCCATGTTGGCCAGGCTGGTCTCGAACTCCTGACCTCAGGTGATCCACCTGCCTCAGCCTCCTAAAGTGCTGGGATTACAGGCGTGAGTCACTGCACCCGGCCGTTGCTCTCATTCTTAGGCAAGTTTTTTCCATTAGGTGGCAAACTGGCCACCAGTAGTGCCAGCCTGACAATTTACGTAGCAACACTAGTGGGCAAAGAGCTTGCCTGTCCTGTGGTTCTTGCAAATGCCTGGTTGGGGGCTCTTGCTTGGGACACATGCATGTCCCTGAAGCAATCACTGTTCTCCAGAGCAAGGGATGCTCTGCCCAGTCTGGATCATGTGCTTTCCCTTCAGGATGGTGGTGGAAGAAGGGCTGGGAGGTGAGCCTCAATCCAACCTCATTACCTGAGCATGGGGAAGCGATAGATCCTCAGAGGAAAACCAAGGTGCTGATACCAGAAGGAGTGGATGTTGAGCAGACGGCACAACAGATGGTCATGAAAATGGGGTCGCCAGATTCGGCAAATAAAAATACAGGACGCCCAGTTAAATTTGAATTTCAGATAAATATGGAATAATTTTTCCATCAAGTATGCCCTATGCAATATTTGAGATATTTTTGATTTTTTTCATTATATATTTGGATGTCCTGTATTTTTATTCACAAAATCTGGCAACCCTATGTGAAAGGAATCAATCAATGAACATTTAGTGAGCACCCACCAGGTCCCCAAAATAAACTATGGTCCTTACTGAAGTCCAGTGGAGGTATAAAGAAGGTGGGGGTCAGAATGCATTATAGCAAAAAGAAGGCCTCATGGAAGGGGTGGTATTTTGAGCTAGGCCTGGTGGTTATGGCTTGGATAGGTGGACAGAAGAGCATTCCTGTTAGGTCATTCACCAAGTCCCAGAAGGGGGACTGGGCATGATATGTGAGGGACACAGGTCTAACCAGAGTGGCAAGTCACTTTAGAGCGCAGTGAGGGATTGTGAAGAAGTAGGAAGGGGAGGGATGTGGGAGGTTAAAGCCAGGCAGGAATTTGGACTTTGCCAAATGCAGCTAGACCTGCGCTGTCCAAAACATTGGCCACCAGCCACATGTGGCTATTGAGCACTTGAAATGTGGCTAATGTGACTGAGGAACTGAATTTTTAATTTTATGTAAAAACCAAAGCTGTATACTTTTTAAATTAAATGTAACTTTAATATTTTGGTAGGACTACATTTCTCTTTTTAGCATTGCAAATCTAGCACCCAAATTGAGGTGGGCTGGCTGGGCACGGTGGCTCACGCCTGTAATCCCAGCATTCTGGGAGGCCGAAGCAGGCAGATCACTTGAGGTCAGGAGTTCGAGACCAGCCTGGCCAACATGGTGAAACCCCGTCTCTA